>NC_000013.11:72802045-72953560 GCF_000001405.40 Homo sapiens
ATAATACATATAACATACAAAATATGTACTAATAGACTATGTTATACTAAGGCTTCCAGTCAACAGTAGGCTATCTGTAGTTAAGTTTTCAGTGAGTCAAAAGTTACACATGGATTTTTTTTTTGACTGTATGGGAGTTGGTACCCCAACCCCTGTATCGTCCAAGGGTCAAGTCTATTTAAGGTATCATTCTGGCTGGTACATAGTAGACCGTCAACAAATGTTTTCTTTATTGAATTTCTTTTTAATGAGTATTTTAAAACCTTCCTGTTGTCCTGGATAATGTTTTTTAAAGAAAGTTCTCTCCTGAGAACAGACTGTAGAGCTATAAGGATGGAAACAAAGAGACTTGTTAAGAGGCTGTTGTAATCTAGGGGAGAGATTATTGTGTTTCAGATCTAGATGGTAGCAGGGGAAGTGGTAGATTCTGGATTTATTTTAAAGTAGAGCCAATAGAAAAAAGGTAGAGTCATGAATTGGATGGAGGATGTTAAAGAAAGATAGGAGTCAAATTAACTCTAAAAAATGTTAGTTTGAATAACTGGAAGGATAGATTTCTGTTCAGCTGAGATAGGTAGGTTGTGAATGAGGCCGACTTGAGTGCAAAAGAGTGTGGATCTTAGACATGTTGAGTTTGAGAGATCTGTTAGATGTACAGTCAAAGGTATGTGGATATACAGGTGTGAACTTTAGAAGATAAGCATTCAAGAGTCATCAGCATAAAGACGATATTTAAAGCCAGGATGAGATTACCAAAGGAGAGTGAGTGTAGGGAAGAGAAGGAAGACCACAGCTTGAGCTCCAGGGCACTTCAACATTGAAATGTGGGAGAGAGAAGGAGGAGTTACCAGTGAAATAGGGAAATTAAGAGAATTTTATGTCCAGGAAATCAAAGGGCAAAAGTTTGTCAAGGAAAAGAGAGTGATCAGCTGTTTCAAATGCTGTTGATAGGTACAGTTAGATGAAGACTAAGAATTGACATTGTATTTAACAAGGTCATTGAAAACCTTGTCAAGAGTAGTTCTGGAGGAGGGATAGGGTCAGCAGTTTGATTACAGTGTTTGAGAGTGAATGGAGGAAATAAACTGGACATAGAGTATAGACAACTCTTTCTGAGTAATACTACTGTATAGAGGAACAAAGAGAGTTGGCAATTACAGGAAACATGGAGCCAGGGAAGGCTTGTTTTTTTTTTGTTTTTTTGTTTTGTTTTTTGTTTTTTGTTTTTTTCCTTAAGAGAGATGACAGCTGTTGTATTTAAAATCACATTGTAACCATAAAAATTTTCTCATTGTCGACAACGGTAGAAGGACATTCATGTAATTGTTAACCAACAGTGTAGGTAGTACTGTTGGATACCCAGTTATAGTTATGTTTAAGGCTCCCCACTTTAGTGCTATCCGTGTAATAAAAAGAGTCATGTATATTTGGGGTATTGCCAATAGTATGTGTTTCTGTGATTATGATATTTGGGGAAACTACTAGAACAGAGGGGTGTTTGTTGATTGAATTACTCCTGATTAGTTCTGTGGGACTTTCTTAATATCTAAATAGTGGTTTAAAGAATAATAATTTAGTAAAGTGAGATAATTTATCTCTTAATAGCTAGAGTTTTAATTATGTCACAAAAAGTTGAGTTTCGATTTAAAAAACAACTGAAGAATATATTTATAAGTGAGTAAGGAAGATAGAGAATGTTATGACCACTAGAGGAGGGTTTACAAAAAGATCTGGGTTATTTAAATGAGGCTGGGGGAGGTTGAAGAGGTGATTGGACACTGTCAGGTTACTGAGGTTCAATTGTCATCAGTGAGAACCATTGTCTCTAGACTTTTAAAACTAATCACAAACCCCTAATTTATGAAAGTGCTAAATGAAATTGTCAGTTTTTCATTTGAAGTTTTCTGTTTTTTCTTCTGTTACTTGGAATGTTCTTATCTGAGTGTTTTTTGCCCAGTGGTATTTCATGTTTCTTTCCTCTTCAGTCTGTGGGCTGCATATATATACTTATTGTTGGCCTGAAGCAGACAATAAAAACAGAGAAATGCCCATCATATCCAAAGGAAGTAGCAAGAAAATTTCGACTTTTCCAATGGTGTCATTAATTTTAAGTTTCTTGACCCAAAAGAGTAAATTTTCCTCTTAACTATAGTGGGAGAAAAAATAATATATTTTCCTCACCCATTGCAAGGTTTATGGCTGAGACTCCAATAATAAAAGAGTAATAAGAGAAAAGCATAACAAATTTATGTATAATTTATATGTATAATTTAATATAAATTTTATGTGACATGGGAACCTTCAGAAATGAAGACTAAAAGACCCAGGGAAAATGTATTTTTGTGGATTGTCATGCATAAGTATGATTGGAAGACAAAAGTGTATGATCTGATGGTAATCAACTGGGAGAATTTAGCAAGGCTTGTTTGTTCACATTCTTCTTGGGCTGTCTGTGACATTCCTTCCCATTAGGTATAGGGCAGGACGCCTGTCACCTTAGGGGAGAGGGGAGGGAGAAAGAGAGTGGCCTTCCTAGGTTTGATGACCTGCTTCAAGGGAGAAAGAGGCAAGGGGAATTTTCATTTATGTGGCCCACTTCAAGAGAGATGGGTTGGGAGAAGGTCAGGGAGACCCCCCTGTTTCTGCAGTTTTCTTAATTTCCTTCAGGTTAAAATACTCAGTATGCCAGGGTGCCATGTTTCGAGGTGTCTGTTCTAAGTCCTAACAGAGGAATTAATATTTTATTTTGTAGTGAACAAATTGAAAATATATCCAGTAAAAGTGTGTACACTGATTCTGTTTTCCTAAATTTGACAAATAAAAGGAAGTGTTACTTTGTTCAATAAGTGTTCAATAAGTAAGATACACTGCCATAGTAAGTTTCAGGACAAGGTCCATGATATATAGCTGCAACCACCATAAAGTTACTAAATTTTTTCTTTTTTGAGCCAGAGTCACACTCTTGTCACCTAGGCTGCAGTGCAGTGGTACAGTCTCGGCTCACTGGAACCTTTGCCTCCCGGGTTCAAGCGATTCTCCTGCCTCAGCCTCCCAAGTAGCTGGGATTACAGGCACCCACCACCACACTCAGCTAATTTTTGTTTGTTTGTTTTTTGAGATGGAGTCTCGCTTTGTCGCCCAGGCTGGCATGCAGTGGCACGATCTCGGTTCACTGCAAGCTCCGCCTTCTGGGTTTACGCCATTCTCCTGCCTCAACCTCCCGAGTAGCTGGGACTACAGGCACACGCCACGACGCCTGGCTAATTTTTTGTATTTTTAGTAGAGACGGGGTTTCACCATGTTAGCCAGGATGGTCTCGATCTCCTGACCTCGTCATCCGCCCGCCTTGACCTCCCAAAGTGTTGGGATTACAGGTATGAGCCACCACACCTGGCCTGAAGTTACTAACTTTTAATAAGACATGATCCAAATTTTTCATATGACATTATTCAAAAGATCTTCATAAAGTGATTCAACAAATATTTTATTCTTCAACTCATACTTATTTAAGGTTGGATATTTTAAGATAAACAACATTAGTCTTATTAATGACTTTATGTAATTTTAAAGTTGGATACAATATAAGCTTTGGGGAAAAAAACATGACTAGATGGTATTCACCCAAGAATTTTAAGGGACTTAAAGGATGAACCTGAAACTGCAGCACATGTATAATATTGCTATCAAACAGAGCACTTGAAGTAGGTGTAATTGCTTGAAAGCTGGTAAATTGCCTGCCTGAGTCTAGAAACTAAAGACCTCCACACTTAAAACTGATAAAGCACTCTTTTATGCTTACTGAGCTTGTGTAATGCATGAAGATTAGGATCAGTGAATACTTAGGCAAGTTAAATACTTCCCCTTATGGGGGAAGGTCAACAGAGTGGTACAAATGGACAAATTATATTTCACATATATATAAAGAGAAAATAGAGAACAAATTATATAGACTTTCAAAAAGCCATTGACAGGTTTTAAATTCTAGCTTTTAAAAATTGGCAGGCTTTTAAAAAATTACAGTGAATAACATAACATTAAATTTAAGACTTTATTTTCATGTATACAATTCAGTAAAGAATACTCACATTGTGCAACAGATCTCTAGTACTTTTGTATGTTGCAACACTGAAAACTACCCACTAGACACTGATTCTCCCTCTCCCCTCCCCCAGTCATTGGTAACCATTTTTTAACTTTGTTTCTATGATTTTGATTAGTTTAGATTCGTCATATGAGTAGAGTCCTACAGTATTTGCCCCTTTGTGATTGGTTTCAATTAGCATAATGCCCTCAGGGTTTATCCATGTTGTAGCATGTGACAGAATTTTCTTTTTTTTTTTTATTGTACTTTAAGTTCTGGGGTACATAGGCACAACGTGCAGGTAGTGTTACGTAGGTATACTCCTGCCATGGTGGTTTGCTGCACCCATCAACCCGTATCTACATTAGGTATTTCACCTAATGCTATCCCTCCCCTAGTCCCCCACCCCCTGATAGGCCCCAGTGTGTGATGTTCCTCTCCCTGGTCCAAGTGTTCTCATTGTTCACCTCCCACTTATGAGTGAAAACATGTGGTGTTTGGTTTTCTGTCCTTGTGATGGTTTGCGGAGAATGATGGTTTCCAGTTTCATCCATGTCCCTGCAAAGGACATTAACTCTTCCTTTTTTATGGCTGCATAGTATTCCATGGTGTATATGTGCCACAGTATCTAGTCTATCATTGATGGGCATTTGGGTTGGTTCCAAGTCTTTGCTATTGTGAACAGTGCCACAATAAACATGTGTGCATGTTTTTATAGTAGCATGATTTATAATCCTTTGGGTATATACCCAGTAATGGAATTGCTGGGTCAGATGGTATTTCTAGTTCTAGATCCTTGAGGAATCACCACACTGTCTTCCACAATTGTCTTTCACAGTCAGGTTGAACTAATTTACGCTTTTTTTTTTTTCTATTTTAAGGTTACATAATATTCCATTGTGTGTATATACCACATTTGCTTTATCCATTCATCTATAAATAGATACCTGAATTGCTTCTACCTCTTGGGAGAAATGGGCAGACTTTGTAAGAAGTGTTATCATGAATTCTCAGGAAATTGTTTTCTCTTTAGTAGGTGAAGGATAAGAGCCAAAAAAAAAAAAGGAATAAAAAGAACTAAATGAAAAACAAAAATAGAAGTATTCTTCAGATACAACTGTTAAATCCAATCTTATTCATTATTTAACATTTTAATACATTTATTGGGCTGGGCACAGTGGCTCTCGCCTGTAATCTCAGCACTTTGAGAGGTCGAGGTGGGCAGATCACCTGATGTCAAGAGTTTGAGACCAGCCTGGTTAATATGGCAAAACTCCGTCTCTATTAAAAATACATAAATTAGTCAGGTGTGGTGGCAAACACATGTAGTCCCAGCTACTCAGGAGGCTGAGGCAGGAGAATCGCTTGAACCTGAGAGGTGGAGGTTGTAGTGAGCCAAGATTGTGCCACTGCACTCCAACCTGGGCAACAGAGCAAGAGTTTGTCTCAAAAAAAAAAATTTAATACATTTATTGATGAGGAAGCACAAAGTATAATCTCAAGTTTGTAGACAGTAAAGTTTTTCTGAGCAGTGGAACACCAAACTAGTAGGGCAGATTGGAGGAAGGTCTCAAAAGGTAAGTGGACTGATTATAAATGAATGTGTTTTCTTTTTAATAACTATCAATCAGCTTATATTCCCAAAATTAGCATGTTCAAAATTGATCACCTGCCCCAGAGTGTAATTTTTTGCCATTTTATTATAGAAATTTTCAAACGTAACTTGAATTTCACAATGACACCAGTATATTTATCAGTAAATTTCTGCCATTAACATTTTTATTGTATTTGTCTTATCAAATACCTCTCCATCTATCCATCTGCCAGTCACATTTAATTTTATGGGAAAATGCTGAACTTTTTTTTCCATTTGTCAGTAATTTCTTCCTTTTCATTACTGAGTGGTATTACATTGAATGGCTCTAGTTATTTACCATTTAATGGGCATTTGAGTTATTTCCGATTCAGAGACTTTACAAACAAAGCTCTGAGAACATTTGAGTATGGTTTTTTGTGTGGACATGTTTTTTCTCTTGAGTAAGTACTTAAGTGTGGAATTTTTTACTTCTAGAATTTCAGTTTGGTTATTTATTATAGCTTTTATTTCTCTATTTGTTTACTTATTATGAACATATTTTCCTTTACACCACTGAGAATTGTTAAAATAGGAGCTTTAAAATTCTTGTCTGCTAATTCCAAACACTGGGTCACCTTGGAGTTGATCTCTGTTGATTGTCTTTTCTTTTAGAAATGGGTCACATGTTCCTCTTTCTTCAGATGTCAAGTAACTTAAAATTGTTTAGACCATCGAGTAAGTGTAGATGAGAACATTGTGAGTATTATGTTGTTGAGACTCTGCATTTTATGTACCTCTAAACGGTGGTGATGTTCTTGTTTTAGCAGGAAATTACTTGGTTGTACTCAAACAGCATACTCTGTCTATTGGGCAGGTGTTCAAATTTCAGTTCAATTTTTTTTGGTATTATTGGGGCTGCTCAGAGTCTGTCCTACACATATGTTGTTTAGAGGGTAGCCAGATACTTAAGCAGAAATTACCCAGAGAATTCAGTTTCCCCTCTCTGGCTATCTCTGAAATTTCCTCCTCATTTAGAGCAGCTGCAGTTCCCATAAATACCAAAGATTTTCTCATGCACCTTGATCCATCCAACCTGGCACAGAATGGGACTGGCCTCAGGCTAAGGGCTACTAAACAAAAACAAAAAATACCAGGAAACTCACCTAAATGCTGAAAATGATAGCAATAATGACAACTCCATAGTGGTTTACTAAGAGAAACTAAGGTATTTGTTAGGCATATCTCTGAGTTTTGAGACCAGCAATTAAGAAAACAAATTTTCCATTTTACTTAAAAAGTTTATTCTCTACAGAGAGTTCATGAATCTGGAGAAAATAAAATTACTCTCAGTCTTTCCGTTTTACTTTATGGATCTTTCTTATCCAAAATGGTCTTAATTTTTTTCACCACTTGGGGGCAGTATATGTCCCTTTTTTTTTTTTTTTTTTTTTTTAATTAAACCTGTTGGGGGCTATTTGGAAAATGTGATTATTTTTGAGCTAGAGACCCAAAGCTTTACATTTAGTTACCTTATTTTCATTTATATTCATTATTTCATATAAAATGCCTGCAATCAATCACATAGTATCTTTTTCTAGTAAAATTTAATATATTTAGAACTTGGAGAATGGAGTATCAAAACAAAAATTTGTGTTCCATAATATGTATTCAGAGATGTCTCAGTTATTGCACTAATTTCATAATTATGCCTACCAGAAATATTGAGAATTTTTAATTCTGTTAAAACCAAAAACATTCAGGGTTTTAAATTCTGTTAAAGCCACATGAAATCATTAAAGCCACACAATTACACAGTTAATTTGACTCTGCTTTTGTTTGTATGAGATTAAAACTGTTTAAGAAATTTAATAGAAGGTTTTTTTTTGGTTTTTTTTTTTTTTTTTTTGGAGATGGAGTTTTGCTCTTGCCCAGGCTGGAGTGCAATGGCATGATTTTGGCTCACTGCAACCTCTGCCTCCTGGGTTCAAGCAATTCTCCTGCCTCAGCCTCCCGAGTAGCCGGGAGTACAGGCATGCGCCACCATGCCTGGCTAATTTTTGTATTTTTAGTAGAGAGGGGTTTCACCATGTTGATCAGGCTGGTCTCGAACTCCTGACCTCAAGCGATCTGCCTGCCCTGGCCTCTCTAAGTGCTGGAATTACAGGCATGAGCCACTGCGCTTGGCCAGAATGTGATTCTTGACCTTTAAAAGGAAATTACTCTTTCTGAAGTGGCAGTTTTAGTGGATTTCTGGGATTTCCTTTTGTAATTTTTTCCAGATCTTTAGTTATTTGCAAATAACATCTAGATACTATTATAACACTGGAAAATAGGGCTCATCTTTTACTTCAAGTCCGGAGTTTATTTAAAAGTGTCAGTAATGTAGTCTAATTCTGGCTTATTTTGAGTTACATTATGTATATGATCTTGTGTATGGTACTTTATGTTTATAAAAGTGCTTATAGATAACTTTATTTCCTATTTATGAATTTTCTCTATTAGCAGGTCAAAATTTTGGTTGATCACATGCAACTCAGCTATATGTTGCTGTTTTGCTATTATAGAGTTAGTTCAGCATGCTTTTTCATATCAAAAGGATGTGATGTTAGAGATACAGTGTAAGGCATTAGTGAATCTGCACTTAATAAAACTATTAAATTTCATGAGGAAATGGTGAAATATTTTTCTCTTATGAGAACTTTGGTAACTAGGAAGCAAGAAGAATTTTGTCAAGAGTACTTCCTTGTTTAGAAACATAGTTACATTCTTTAAAAAATTCTGCAAGATTATCTTGAGGTTCATCTTAAGTATTCATATGTAAGTAATTCAGTTAATTTTATTTGTATGAAAATGAGTTATTTCATTGATGAAACATATTTGTTTATTAAAGTTTTTATATTTTAGGGAGTGTTAACTGTTTTCTGAGATTTCTTTTTATCTTATCCAAGTGATGAGCTTAAAGTTTCTTTGTAAGGTACATATTTATGATGATACCCATCAGTTATAATTATCCTAGAATGCTTAACAAATTAGTAAACAGTGATAGATTTGCCTCTTTATATTAAATTTAAAATGTATAAGCATTGCTTAAAATTTAGATTCATAGCCACCTGCATGGGTTCTATTTTGGTCTGAGGTGGAACTAAGAACCTCAATTTTTTTTTTTTTTTTTGAGACGGAGTCTCGTTCTGTTGCCCAGGCTGGAGTGCCTTGGCACAATATAGGCTTACTGCAAGCTCCGCCCCCCAGGTTCACACCATTCTCCTGCCTCAGCCTCCCGAGTAGCTGGGACTACAGGTGCACGCTGCCACTCCCGGCTAATTTTTTGTATATCTTTTTAGTAGAGACAGGGTTTCACTGTGTTAGCCAGGATGGTCTTGATCTCCTGACCTCGTGATCTGCCCACCTTGGCTTCCCAAAGTGCTGGGATTATAGGCGTGAGCCACCGCACCCAGCCAGAACCTCAATTTTTAATAAACAACCCAAGATTCTAATGTGGCGGGTTCATGGACACTGACCACAAATCATTTTTTAAGCTATTTTTGTTAACTTATTAATTGAGATTTAAAAATAACTTTGAATTTTTAATTACATTTCCTGATTTGAAATTTATATATTGGCTGGGCACCATGACTCACTGCTATAATACCAGCACTCTGGGAGCCCAATGTGGATGGATCACCTGAGGTCAGGAGTTCAAGACCTGAACATCGGGAAACCCCATCTCTACTAAAAATACAAAAATCAGCTGGGTGTGGTGGTAGGCACCTGTAATCCCAGCTACTTGGGAGGCTGAGGCAGGAGAATCACTTGAACCCAGGAGGTGGAGGTTGCAGTGAGCGGAGATCGCGCCGTTGCTCTCTAGCCTGGGTGACAGAACAAAACTCCGTCTCAAAAAAAAAAAAAAGAGAGAGAAATGTATATATTAATGCCATTTCTTGCCGCCAATATAAAGTTAATATGTTTTAATATATTTAACATATTCAAGAATATAATTGAAGTCATACACTATTACGTTACAACTTGGACTTACTAAAATCCCTCTCTTGCCTATACCTCTAAAACCTCTAAAAAATTGCTCCTTCACAAACCTGTTAAGTTTTTACAAATAATACAAATGGCTTACGATAAAAGTGCATGAGGGAAAAAAAATTCATGGGAAAGCTAAAATGAATGCAATTTTAAGTACGACATAATTGGGAAGAAGTTTCATTTAGCTGATTGTTTTATACATGCTGTATGAAGAGACATAATCTTTTAAAGAGTCATAAGACTTTTTTTTCCCTTTGCTACTGTGTGTATAATCTTTAGTAAATCTAGGAACTTGTAAATTTTAGGGGCAAGTTTTGAGGGGCTTATTGGGTTTTGAGATGAAATTTTGAACCCAGTGGCCAAAAGGATGTATCACTACATGATGGCACGGGAAAACTCAGGAGGGACCTTACCAAATACTTTGGTTTAAATCCAGAGATACCATGATAACTTCGTTCTCTTGATCTGCATAGTGTTTCTAAGCCAGATTCCACAGATATGTTTTGGAGTATCTAAGAGTTCTTTTTGATAATTTTTAACTTTATGATTTAATTTTTTTAATGACCTCAGAAATTAACAGATGCATATGATGGTTCATCTGAATGAATAATTTATAATAGAGTACTATCACTATGATGTCATTGCCCATGTTTGCATTTAATTTTGTCATGGCATTAGCACCACAGATCACAGTTTAAAAAAACAGTAGTCAACTGTCCAGGCACAGTGGCTCACGGCTGTAATCCCAGCACTTTGGGAGGCCAAGGCAGGAGGATTGCTTGAGCTCAGGAGTTCGAGACCACCCTGGCCAACCTGGTGAAACCCTGTCTCTACCAAAAATACAAAAACTCCAGCCTGGCCAACATGGTGAAACCCTATCTCTACCAAAAAATACAAAAATTAGCTGGGTGTGGTGGTGCAGGCCTGTAGTCCCAGCTACTCGGGAGGCTGAGATGAGAGAATTGCTTGAACCTGGGAGCCAGAGGTTGCAGTGAGCCAAGATTGTGTCCAGCCTGGAAGACAGAATGAGACCCTGTCTCAAAAAACTACAAAAAAAAAACCCCAAAACAAAAACTTAGCCAGGTGTCGTGGCACACATCTGTGGTCCCAGGTAGGAGGATTGCTTGAGCCCGGGGTAGGGGTAGGGGAGCAGAGTTTGCAGTGAGCCAAGATCGCACCACTGTATTCCAGCCTGTGTAAGAGTGAGACTCCGCCTCAAAAAAAAGAAAGAAAAAAGAAAAGAAAGAAATAGCCATCAACTTAATTTGTAAGATAGGTATTTCAGCCAAATAAAGGCCAGGTGCTATCATGCATCACTGTATGAATAAAAGTTTCACAGTTCAAATAGAGAAAAATGATGACAATATAGAGTTGTCACACTACTGAGCATAGTCATGCCAAACTCAAAGCTAAATGAACTCCTACTTATTTTACTATTTTAAGGTTAAATTATATAGTCAACATTAACTACTGAATAGAATAAGCATTGCTGTTTAGGCTTAGTTGAAAGGAGGAAGTAAAGGGATTCTAGGAGATGAAAATGTGAATGCATGTCATTTTTCCTTTCTTTTCCAGTTCAAAGTATCCCTCTCTCAGCTGTCTTCTGGCAGGCAGCTGGATCTGAGTGGAAGTCTTGAGCTTTGGGAAAGCTAGTGTTCCAGTTACGTATTGCTGCATAACAAATCACCCTAAAACTTGCTGTCTCACAATAATTTATTATTTGTCACAGCTCTGAAGGTTGATAGGTTCAGCTGAGTTTTTCTTACCTCACTGAGGCTGGGGTCATCTGAAGTCTTCTTTAGTCACCAGTTTGGAGCCAGGATGATATGACCAAAACATTACTCCCTTTTGCACTTGGCCTCTTCATGTGATTAGTTTAGGCATCCTTCAACATGGCAGTCTCACAGCATGGCAGCTGGCCACCTCCAAAGCAAATATTCAAGAAACTCAGGCGAAACTTAAAGACTTCTTAGGATGTAACTTCAAAATCCCAGAAAATTGCTTCTCCCACATGCTTTTGGTTAAGCAGATCATTAAGAGGAATGGACCCACTTCTTAATCAGAAAATAGCTTCCTGCATACAAGGGAAGAAATTGATAGAGACCGTCTTGGAGATAAGCTACAAAATTTGAGATTTCTCTCCCCTGACTTGAGTGAAAGCCTAGAAATAGTGTGAGAGAACCCTGAGCAAGAGCAGAACAGATTGTCGGCAGAGCTCGGCCTATAAAAATCTATGGATTACTCCCTTCACTCCTCACCCCAAATAAGGTGGATAAAGTCTCCTTTGCCTCCACTAGGTGAGGGAATCGATGTACAGTGTTCTGTTAAAAGAAAGACTCTTATTATGACCTTCAAACCAAGCCCAGCTCTATTTGTTTATAGGAAATATGCTTAATGAAAATTGATAAAGATTGAAAAATGGGCCGGGTGCAGTGGCTCACGCCTGTAATCCCAGCGCTCTAGGAGGCTGAGGCGGGTGGATCACCTGAGGTCAGAAGTTCAAGACCAGCATGGCCAACATGGTGAACCTGTCTCTACTAAAAATACAAAAATTAGCCGGGCATAGTGGCAGGCATCTGTAATCCCAGCTACTCAGGAGGCTGAGGCAGTAGAATTGCTTGAACCCAGGAGGCGGAGGTTGCAGTGAGCCGAGATTGCGCCATTGCACTCCAGCCTAGGTGACAAAGCAAGACTTCGTCTCAAAAAAAAAAAAAAAAAGATTGAAAAATAATTACTTAAATAATTTTTAAGTAAAAAATTATATAATAAATTTTAAGTACAGATTATATAGTTTCTATTTTTTATCATAATTTAGTGAAACCAGAGATTAAAGATGAGGAGGAATAAACTTACTTGGCAATTAGAAACGTATCTTTTGGATTAAAGAGCAAAGAAAAACTGAAATAAAACAATGAAAATGAGAACATTTTTATATCAAAATTCTTAGACACATTTAAAGCTATGCCAAAGGAAAATCTGTAGCCGGAAATGCCTTTATTATTTAAAAAAAAAGATGAAAAATAAATACATGTAGTACTCATCTTGAGAAAGCTGGAAAAAGATGAGTAGAAATAAGGTGTTTGGAATTAACTGACATGAAGTAAGGGAAAATACATACAGTTCTATGGCAGTAAGCTTGAAAACAAAAAGGAAAGTGAACTGTGCCAACAAAATATAGATTACTAAAATTGACAGAAGTGAGAACTTGATTTAGAACAGTTACCATAGAGGTATTACAAAAATAAGTAAAAGTGTACAACTGATAAAATTACCAACAGGTTCACAGATAGATTACTGCAAATGGGTTCACAGTTGATTTAGAAAAAGACAGCTAGTTCCACTTACTTATACTATACCCACTATTGAAAAAGAAAGTTCTGAGAAAGAGACTACAAAAGCAAAATAAAACATTTAGGCCAATTTTGCTTATTACTACAGATGTAAAAATTTGAAATAAAATGTTAAATGAATTTTACCATTGTATCAAAAGAATAATACTTTATGATTAAACAGAGTATATTCCAGCACAGAAAGAATAATCCATTGCATCAGCAAATTCATGGAGAATAGCTTCATGAACACATTAACGTATCAGATGCAACAGCAATTAGTGTTGAACACTTAAGATTTTATCGCTTTCTTCATATGAGTTTGTTACCTTGTGAATGAAATATGTTCCCCCACCGTTCATCTCTAGCAAGAAAAGAAATTGATTCATTTGAAGAAAACTATAAAATCTTGGAACATGGAAGCATCGTACCTTAAGTAAGACAAGCTCATTAAAATAGCAATTTTTATGATTAACATATTAATCAAATGTAGTTCAGTTATAGTCTCCTTTTTTTCCTGATAATTTGCAGGGGTTGTTGGAGGGAGGAAGTGTGGTACAGGACTTTATCCTTTCCATCACCTGTGTTAATACTTTTTAATTGTTATTGATCTATATTTCCAGACAAGGTCTCAGTCTGTCATTCAGGCTGGAGTGCAGTGGCATGATCACACCTCACTGCAGCCTTGAAGTCCTAGGCTTAAGCCATTCTCCCACATCAGCCGCTTGAGTAGCTGGGAGTACAGGCATGCACCATCACACTGTTAATACTGTTAAGGCTTATCTCAATTATTCAAAAGGCATGAGAATCCATACTTTTCTTGCATTGATAAATTTGGGGGTTAATATGTGATACTTTTAAGATAATTTAGCAACTTGGTCTCTTTAACATTAAGATTCAAATTTGTTTGGTTCAATCATATTTGGGTCAATGCCTGTTGAGAAGCCAGTATTTCAAATTTGTTACAGTAGTTTGCTGAATAAAATGTTGGGTATAAAAATTGCCTCCTAATACATCAGTGTAGCATTTTGCAATGGTGGGGTCTGCTAGACCCATTAGCTAGTGGGTGATGTCTTAATACTAGTAATAGAGTGTTATACTACAATAATAACCACATAAAAATAAATGAGCCAATGAATCAGTTAGTATACACACTCTGCAGAAGCATCAGGTAAGTCCAGAAAAGTTGACTTGCTAGAGCAAAAAGTAGGAGAGACAGAATCTGAACCCATGTTTGTTATTCCAATCTAGGGTCCACCACATGTGATGAAAGTTACCTTTCCTCATTCTTGAGTTTTGCTGGGCATAGTGGCTCACGCCTGTAATCCCACTTTGGGAGGCTATAATCGCAGCACTTTTGGGGCTGAGGCGGGTGGATTCCTTGAGTCCAGGAGTTCAAGACTGCTCTGGACACCATGGCAAAACCCTTTCTCTACTAAAATACAAAAAACTAACTGAGCATGGTGGCATGCCTGTAGACCCAGCTACTTGGGAGGCTGAGGTGGGAGGATCATCTGAGGTCGGGAGGTTGAGGCTGCAGTGAGCCAAGATTGCACCACTGCACTCCAGCCTGGGCAACAGAGTGAGACCCTGTCTCAAAAAAAAAAAAAATTACTGAGTTATTTTTTTCTTTAAAAAAAAAAAAGCCTTAAGTTTTTATTTGAATTCACATGTATTCAAATAGATATAATTGAAAATTTAGCATGTAATAGAAATTATTAAGATTTTTGTTTTAATGCATAGCAGACTTTACCACTTCAGATTTTGTCTGTCTTTAGAATCAATTTTTTTTTTGAAAAATTTCTTGAAGATCTTAACAATGACAAGAGTTGTCTCTGGCAGCAAAACAGACTTCATTGTGGCTTATAAAGGGACAGCCTATAGCAGTCAAAGCTTAATTAGGTTTCTTGTTCTTTTCAGTATTTAGTTGCCTGGATTAGATTATTGATAATGTGAAACTTGTGGGAATTCTGACAAGTGAATTCTTAGTTTTCCAGAATAGCTAACCAACTATTTCTTACCATTCACTGAACTGCTGTCCAATGTAAACTGCTTCAGATTTGAACCTTAAGGTAAATGTCATTATATTCTATTTCCAATTTCCTTAGTTGTCCTCCACACAGACAGGAGTTGTTCATTTATTAAAGATTTATTTTGAAACATAGGTTGCTGCTTTTTTCTCAGTTTACATCATGGGAGAGACAAAAGACTTAAATGGAGTTTAGAAATTCATTACATCCATAGTAATTGCCTTTTATTGAGAACAGAAATTGAGGCTTGGCTATTATTATCCCATTTACTGTGATGTAGAAATTTTCTGTTAGTAAGGGCTGATGACTGGAAATTTTATGTGTCCATTTCTTTATGTTTGAAAAGTTTACTTTTTTTGCTTCTTTTGTTTTAGTCTATTTAATGTCCTCTTTTGTTCCTCCTCTTCCACAGACATTAATTGCAAACCTTCTATATAATAGGCAGAGTATTAGTTACTAGGATTACAGAAAACTTCCTTAGAGTTTTCCTTATGATGTGGGAGACAAGTAATGGCTGCCCACAGCACATGTGATACATTTTCTGACAGATAAGAATCAGGTGTTGTGAAAAAATAGGATAAACTCTAGGTTATTGCTGGAGCTTAGTCTTCCCACAAAGGTTGATGCTAAGCTCAAGACATGGAAGGATGCAGAGGAGAATACAAAATAGTCTTTTCTACTCTCTATAGCTTTAACAATGGTTCTACATAGTCATGGGGTTTATTTTGAGGGAAGATGCTATTTTTCCTGTTTCCAATGCTATGGCTTACTCTATTTTAATTGCTAACAATAAATGCAGGAGATTTTTAAATTCAAAATACGAAAGTAATAATTTCGTTTAAGGGGAAATTGTCCAATTGAAAAATTGTAAATAAAGTGCTGGTCGAATATGTGCATTCTTATACTGCACTTAGACTTGCTTCTGTTTATACTTGCATATGGTGTTTATATTTAAAGGAAATTTATAAATATATACATATATATACACTATGTATATAACATTAATAATATACTCTGTATATTTATTCTTCCATGGAACTACTCTCTGAATATCCTAAAATACTCTGCATATTTCAGAGTCAGATGATCTTTACCTTTTTAGATCTTTGCAGTTGCACTCACAGAAAACACTGCTTCTTTGGAACTCATCATCTGGATACCCCAACTTACAGTATTCTTCATTTGCAGACCACTGGGACATTCCTCTTTGTTTAATGAAAGCCTTGCTCTAGATTTAGTCTTCCTTTCCACTTCAGCTGCTACCTAGGTTACTTATGTGATTAATTCATCTATAGCCTTGGCCTTGAATTTTATTGATCTCATCTCTAGTGATTGCCTTTTCTCCATTTTAACACTCAGTCTTATAGCCCACATTTGGTTCCTTGCCATCCAGAACTGATTTACTTCTGAAGTTACCAATTCACTTTCATCCACTAAACATCTTATTTCCTATATTTTTTATGTTTTACCATTGTCTGCTTTCAACTTGTCTTTAACAGAATTTCCAATCCATATAATTTGTTTCTTTATCAATCCTTTCCTAAATTTATTTTCTTCCCTTGCCACCATGTTATCAGTCTTAAACTTTTTTTTTTTTTTTTTTTTTTGCCAGTATCATCTAATTCCTCTCCCAGCTTTCTTTTTATCAAACCAGACTGAAAAACTCTCAACTCTTTATTTTTCTAGCTGAGCACTACTGGCAAAAATCACACAAGCAGTAACAAGCACTGTCAGTTTATTGTTATCAGCCTCAAATGGACCCACACAATTGGTCGTAATTCTATTATTTCTAGTTCTCTCATTTTTCGCAGAGATTACTTAAGGCAACCAGCCACTCTTCTTACATCTCCAGTTTTCCACGTTTCTTGTCGCATTCAGCAGATGACTTGGTATTTCATTTCACAGAGAAAATGGAAATCTTCAGATGAGAACTCCCACAGTGTCCTTCCAACAAATCTACTCACATCTGCACTCATTCTGGTTTGTTTGTTCTTAGTGTTTATAATGGAAAGAGTCTCGCCCTCAAGGGATGGGAAAATCATATGCCTCTAGAAACCAGGTGGATAATATAAATTTGTGAAGCCGTAGGGTAAGATTAGGCTGTGGCCTGTAGCAAATTGATAAGAGCTATCTAAATTATTCAAGTTGTTAATACTCTGTATCAGCTGGAAAAAAGCCTGCCTTGATGAACATGGCCTCTGATCTAAGACTAATCTGCACATCTAAGCTGTGGATCCCATCTCCTAAAGCCCTTTTCAGGAGTATGCTTCATTCCCCTGAGTATGCCCCCTTTTCTCCAACAGTAATTCATCTTTTGCTGTTGTTTCTCACCAATATTTGAATATTGTCAAGCTTGTTTCATTTTTTAAAACCTTCATTGGCCCTGTTTTCTTCTCTAGCTACTATACTTTCTCCACTTTTACTATTAAACTGTAGAAAGAGTTGCCGACTGATTTGGATTTGACAAACTTAGATTGGAGTCCTCACTCTACTACTTACGAGCTCTGAGACTTTCCAAGCCTCAGTTTTTTTCATCTGTGAAACTGGGGATAATTTTTAGATCCCATCATAAGTGTTAAGTCGACAATGTATATAAAATAGCCAAAAAAGAGGACATACTGAGTATTTAGATATATTTGTTTTAGTCCCTAACACTCTACCTTCTGCCCCTACCGCTAAATACTTTAAAGGCTTTTTGTTGGTTCTCGGTAATATTTCTTAGTACCAATCAGTAGTGTTTCTCAATATTATTGACTGCTTCAAAGCACTGTCTTCCACTGTTTTTCCTGACACACACCCCTGGTTTACCCATTGTTTCTGCGAATACTCCTTTGGGTTTTTTGGGATCCCTGTTTTTTGCCCATCCTTTAATGTTTATATTCCTTGTATTTATGTTCCTCCAAATTCTGTCATGGCGTTTGCACAGTTATTAAGCTGTTAATTTGGCTATGATCTCTTTGGAAGCCAAAGCAAAGAGGAAGCATTATAACAATATTAATTTATAGTTAATCAGCATTTACTACGTTAGACATTTTTATAAGCACTTTACATGTATTACTTGATATATGCTTCACAAGAACTCTGAGGTAGGACACCAGAATAGAGAGGTAAACTAACGTGCACAGAGTCTTACTGCAGGAATTCAGTTTTAGACAGTTGAATTCTGGAGCTTGCCTTCCTAGCCATAACACTATACTCTCTTCCAAAACAGTGACATGATTAATGATGTTTAGAAGGATAAAGCATTCTTCAGAAGAACTAAAGATTCTTGTAGGACTTAGGTCCGAAATGATATATGTGATGATCTTTCGGGAGGTGATAGCGTATCCTCAGCTGTAATCCCATAATAAGTACCATAGTAACATTCCATTCTCATGGAAAACTTCAGCGTAGAACAAGAACATAATACCATACCAAAGCAAAACACACTGAATGTAGTTTTTCCATAATTACTTCTCTCAAATAGCCCTTTGATAGAAATTTGGGGACTAAAATAATCAAAGTTACATTTAGTAGTTTAAAAAGGACAAAATCGTCTTACTCATCTTTGTATCTGTAGTGCCTAATCCGTGACCAGTCACACAGAAATGATCCAGTCAGTATGTGTGGAGTGAACATGACCTCATTTAGCTGGCCAGCTACTTAAGCAGTAATGACTTAACACAGGATGCATTTAACATGCCAGCTTCTGAAGGTGGAGTTGATGATTGGTTGCAAGATTTGATGAGTTCAAAGAAGGAAAATAAGTAGGAATTTAGTCCCGTCTGCTTCCCCTCCCAGCTTCCCATATTTAATCATTTCTTTTTTAGCTTTTATTTAATTCTTATTATATACCTGGCAGTGTTTAAAGTGGTGGAGGTCCAGCGTTGAGCAAGACAAAATCCCCACCCTTAAGATGTTTACACTCTGGTGAGATAAAGAGAAAACTAATGTGATGGTAATGATACAGTGAGATCAGTGCTCTGAAGGAGACAAGCATTTAGATTATATGCAGGTATTCAGGCAGTGGGAACAGGTTAGAAGCAGCATTAGTGGGTTCAGACAATTTCAGATCTCCATTAGGGTTGGAGGGTGAAGTGTGAATGTTAGGAATGGTGAGAAATGGGGCTTGTAGGAAGCAGCACCAGATTGTAAAGAACCTTGTGACCAACTTTAAGGTTTTTACTTCCATTGCTCTTCCCATATCAGCAATGCCTTTCTTAACATGCTACTGACATGGGGAGAGTAGAGGGAAGAACAATGTAAAGATGTGTTTCGAGGGTCACACGATTCCTTTTTTTCTGAGTAACACAATTGGAACTGCATGTTTAATCTCTTCATTAATTATTTTTCATTGTAGATACTGATATCCATATGACTTTTCATCTCTAAACTGTAAAATCCTCAAGAACAGGAAGTGTGTTTTATTCACTTCTGTATCTTCAGCATCTGATAGTAACTCAGTAAATGTTTTTAAAAAGTCATTTAACATTTGTAGTCATTTTATGTTTTAGCCTAGTAACTAAAACATAGTTGTTGTGTTATTTATTTGAAAAACAGTTTAAGTTTTAAACAACTGAGTTTACAGACCACTCTGTGAACTTAAGATTACTTGCCTTTGAATAGGGAAAAATTACTAAATTTAAAAATTGAGGAATTTTTTTTACTGTTTAATTACAAGGACAATCACAGCTTAACAGAAGACTTCAATACAGAATTTGGGCAACTATGTTAAGTGTTTAGTCTGAAATGTGTTATTATTCCTTTGGTTTATAGACATATGAGGAAGATCGAAAAAACTACTCTGAAGTTCAAATTAGATGTCAACGTTTGGCCTTAGAATTAGCAGACACAAAACAGTTAATTCAGCAAGGTGACTACCGTCAAGAGAACTATGATAAAGTCAAGAGGTAAGTAGTTAAAATGGCTGCAGTAGTAGTTCTCTATTTTTAGGGTGCATCAAAGTCACCTGAGTTTTTACCAACAATCAGTTGTTAATTTTACTTTTACCTTATTCTTCTTTGCACAAATGCATGCAGTTTTGGCAGTTTGTTGGGTTTATATTGTATTTTTATATTGGTTGTTTTTGTTTTATTTAGATGTCACTGCTGTCTTAAAATGTAAACAGAGATAGAAACCCAGTAAAATCACACGTGTGTAAATATTTTTTCAGTGTTATTTGATGATTATTTTTATGTAGTGGAATCAATTTAAATACTTAACAGTTTTCCCTGAAGTTTTTTTCAGCTGTTTCTTCCTGACAAAAGACACACACTCTTTCAAAAAAAAAATGACACTTTCTGAAAATATGTTTCCTAATATTTGCTACTTATAGCAAATACCTTTTTTTAACTGGAATATTCTTTTCTGTTGTTTGTTCAGTAATTTAATGAGCTGCTACTTAGCTGTATGTCCCTCAGTACATCTCTTTTCATTCTGAGCCTAAGTTTCATCATTTATGAGATGTTGCTAATACGGATAACTGCACTATATAAACTAAGATCAAATAAATATGAAAGCCTTTAAATATATATGTACTGCATATGTAATATAAATGGAATGACCTTATCTTAATTGTTCACTCCACTTGAAATAATTCTTAAAATGTAGTAGTCAGTGAATATTTGTTAAATGAATGAATGATTTAAATTGTGTAATTTAAATTACAAATTGCATAATACCGTATGTGAATTTGCAAAGATTTGTGGATAGAAGATTGTCATTTCTACTCCCATTATGACTGACACATGGTATTTCTTATGTATATGGCATTATGCCAAAATATGATAATTATTGGAGCTTTAAATCCATGAGAGCTGTGCTCAGTGGGCTCTGGAATAAAGCTGGAGTTCAAAAGAAGCATTTAAAAATGAAGTAGAGGGCATAGTGGCACATGCCTTTAGTCCCAGCTACTTGGGAGATTGAGGTGGGAGGACTGCTTAAGCCCAGGAATTCGAGGCTGCAGTGAACTATGATCATGCCACTGCACTCCAGCCTGGTGGCAGAGTGAAACTTCATCTCTTAAAAATATAAAATAAAAAAGAATAAAAATGAAATAGATTATGATGCTAAGATGATACCAGTTGGTATTTTCATGTCCCCTCTGCCACTATCAGTCTATAGCAATGACAGATACAATATAAAAAGAGAAAACTAAAAAGCACAGTCATCAGAATAATCCATCGGGGCCACGGATGATCATTGAAACAAGATGAGTCATGAGTTGATAATTACTGAATTTGGGTGATGGGAGCATGGGTGTTCATTATATCACCTCTATTTTTACATATGTTTTCATTTACTATAATAAAAACCTAGGAAAGAAAAATATAACCTTGATCAAAAAGCATGATAAGCATCTTTATGGTAGAAATGGAATAGTAAAACAAGAAAGGACTCAAACTATGACCCTTTTTAGTTCACTCAGCAGAATGAATGAGTTTAAAAACATCGGTCATAAAATATAAGATAAACTGGGGAAGAAAAAAAAGCCCTTTTATGCCCCGGGTAAATTCTCACAAATGTACAAAAGGAAACAGGTGTATGGATGTTAATTGTGTCATTATTAAAAGAAATTCAAATGCTTTTCAGTAGCAGAATGGAAAATAAATTGAGATTTACTCTGCAATATAATTTTATGTAGCAGTTAAAATCATTAAATTAGATCTGAATGTATCACTTTTTTTTACTAAAAGTTCCTTATTTTCTGGCATAACATAATGTTCCTAGTTTTGGTTTTCGTTTGTTGGTTTTGTAATTTCATTGCCTCAGCTCTTTGTCTAAGAAGTCTTGATCTCTTAGTGGGGAATGCTATTTAGAAATTTAGGATTTGGGTGCTATGGTCATGGCTACATTGGTCATTATTTCTAGGCCCTTTGAGTAGGCAGAGAAAGTAGAGGGAGAATGAGGAGGAGGCTTAACACACTATGGATGAGATCATACTGATACTTCTTTTTTTTGAGACAGAGTCTCACTTTGTCACCCAGGCTGGAGTGCAATGGCACGATCTCGGCTCACTGCAACCTCTGCCTCCCAGGTTCAAACAATTCTCCTGCCTCAGCCTCCCAAGTAGCTGGGACTACAGGTGTGCGCCACCATGCCCAGCTAATTTTTTTTTTTTTTTTTAAGTAGAGACATGGTTCCATGGTTGACCAGACTGGCCTTGAACTCCTGACCTCAGGTGATCTGCCCACCTTGGCCTCCCAAAGTGCTGAGATGACAGGTGTGAGCCTCTGCACCCAGCCCACGTTGATACTTCTAATTCCAATTCAACACTGCAACAGCCACTTGGATGAGGTGCCAACTGGCTAAATATAGCAAACTTGAATATCACAATAAATATTGGCAATAATGAATTACAGTCCATTGAATAGAATAAGAGTTTATAAGTGCAGGCTAATAATAAATACAGAAAGAGGATCTTAAAATTTTTTTAATACATCATCTTTACCATTTTTAAGTGTACAGTTCAGTGGTAATAAATATATCCTTTTTGGGAAAGAGGATCTTTATGGTTGAAATCCAAGCAATAAATGTATATGCATGTAAGAATGACCATTTTGTAGCCGCATAATAATATTGATTCAGAATCATCATTGGAATATAAAACCATGAAGTATAAGTATGTTAGGGAATAGGATATTTACACAAAGCATCTCTTCACAATTACTTACTAATTTTAAAGGGCAAAAGGATACCTTTATAGTTAAACTCTGGCAGATGCTACCTTAACCTAGTGATCAAAGTTACTATCACCAATAATGGGATAAACTGACGTCACATACCTCAGTACATCTTCACATAACATACTGAGAATGCGTTTCTGTATCAGAGAATCATTTCTGAGAATCATTTCTGTAGTATTCCTGCCCAAGTGCCTAACCTGAATCTAATAATGAAGAAACTTCAGACAAGTGAAAATTGAGGAGCATTCTATGATGCAGCTAGCCTCTGCTCTATAAAAAGTCATAAAACACAAGGAAAACTAAGAAATCTTCAAGGTTAAAGGAGACTAAAACCCCATGACATCTAGATGCATGGTAATAGATTATAATATGATGATAATAGATCCTTGGATTACCATTATGGTAATAGAGCCTTGGCTCAGGGAAAAAAAAATTCACAAAGGGTGTTTTGGGAGACAGTTGACAAAATTTGAAAATGGATTGTATGTTAGATAATATTATATTAGGGCTAAGTCTCCTGAATATGATAATTATACTGTGATTATATAAGAGACTATCTTTAATCTTAGTAAATTCACACTAATTATTTAGGGATAAAGGGACCTAATGTCTCAGTTGAGGAAACAAATGCACATGTATGAGTATGTGTGTGTAGGTGTGTATACACATATAGATACATGACCCTTGACCAACATGGGGTCCACTTATATTCAGGTTTTTATCAACCTAACACCAATCGAAAATACAATTTTCACGGGATGTGAAACCTGAGTATACAGAGGACTGACTGTTTGGTGGGATCTGCAACAACTGCAGGACTTCAGCATGTACAGATTTGCATATTCAGGTTGTGGGGGTGGGTCTGGAACCCATTCTCCACATATACCGTTAAGACACCTGCATATATTCACATATATTAACAAGAGAGAGGGTTTGAATAAATATGACAAAGTAATATTTATTTAATATTACAAAACAAATACAACAGTGTTAATGATTGGTAAGTAAAAGCATTAAAAAGAACCAAGCTGGTTACAGCGTGTCATGTCTGTAATCCTAGTGCTTTCAGAAGCACAGGCAGGAGGATCACTTGAGCCCAGGACTTTAAGACTAGCCAGGGCAATATAGCAAGACCGTCTTTACAAAAAAAAAAAAAAAATTAAATTAGGCACATGGTGGCATGCACCTGTAGTCCTAACTCTCTGGCAGGCTGAGGCTGGAGGATCACTTGAGTGCAGTAGTTCAAGTCCAGTCTGGGTGACATAGCAAGACCCCCATCTCATAAAAAAAAAAAAAAATTTAAAAAAAAGATTTTTTAAAAAATTGCATGTGAAAGCACAAAATAAAATTTAAAAATTTTTTTAATTAAAAATAATCTAAACATTCTAAAAATAAAAAAGCACAAAATACGTATAGTAATATGTATCAGAATAGTAATACTGATAGTCATCTTTACTTATTGGGTTTGTAGGTGATTGTTATTTTGTGCTTTGCTCAGTTTTTCTTCAATAAACATAATATTTTGTTAACTAGAAGAAAAAAGGCTTTCTAAACGTTTTTGAAAAACTGATGCAAAGGAAAACAATTCCTAACAGCCCTCTCTGTGGAAATACCAGGTGGGTCAGTGAAATAAAGTGCAAAGGCACTGCTTCTGACTGCAGGGAAGTAGTTAAGAGTTAGTAAATCTGTTTCTCTGCTCATTTTAAAAAATGTGTGTTGTAGGTTTTAGTCCAATTCTTGGTATAACTTTTTTGGGGAACTTGTCTTAAAATGGAAATTAAAATCTGGGTAATCATAAACAATTTGTGAATGAAATAGTCACAAGAATGCCTGCCTACGTATCTACTATGCAATCTAAATGATAAGTTGTATTTTTTTTTTTACCTTAACTGAACTGAAAGCCTAGAGCCATGTATACATTCTTTAAAAGTTTTAACCTCAAGATAAGATTGAAGATGACTAATGAAAAAATACCAAATGTATGTTAGTAAGTTTTATTATTTACTGTACTGGCTTATGTAGTTTGTATATTCCTTAAAGGTAATAAATTGATATGTATGTATTTGAACAAGGTCTGAAACAGAGTCCCTTCTAAATCTGAAAAGTAGGTACTTTATAGTTCATGGAATTACACTGAAGCCCCATTGCTAGTGTCTCTATTCAGCGTCCTAATACATAGTCAACCCTTTTAAAGTGTACGCTGTACAAGGGGATGTAAAATTTACATGTCTCTTTGAATTTTATTTTAACAGTGAACGTGATGCACTTGAACAGGAAGTAATTGAGCTTAGGAGAAAACATGAAATACTTGAAGCCTCTCACATGATTCAAACAAAAGAACGAAGTGAATTATCAAAAGAGGTAAGCTTATAATTAGAGTCACTTATATTATATAGCATAGTATTAGTGAAAAAAATAGCCCAGAGTAGATTTGAAGGAGAGACATTTTTTTTGTTATGTAGTTCCTCCCAAAAAGATAAATTTTTTTTTTTTTTTTTTTTTTTTTTTGAGACAGGAGTCTTTCCCTGTTGACCAGGCTATAGTGCAGTGGTGCGATCTTGGCTCACTGCAACTTCCGCCTCCCAGGTTCAAACGATTCTCCTGCCTCAGCCTCCTGAATAGCTGGGATTACAGGCGTGTGCCACCATGCCCTACTAATTTTTACATTTTTAGTAGAAACAGGGTTTCACCATGTTGGCCAGGCTGGTCGCAAACTCCTGACCTCAAATGATCCACCTGCCTTGGCCTCCCAAAGTGCTGGGATTACAGGTGTGAGCAACCATGCCCAGCCCCAAAAAGAGACTTTTAGTAGCTATTTTTAGATTTTAAAAAAGTTGCATGCTAAGAATTAGCCCTTTTTAAAAGGAAAATTTTCATGTGGTGAATGAAAACATGAAGGAAAGAAATTAATACAGTCAAGCTTGAAAAGTAAGATGGCATCACTGTGGATACTTTTTGTTTCTACATGTATGTAGGTAGTCACCTTAGAGCAAACTGTTACTTTACTGCAAAAGGATAAAGAATATCTTAATCGCCAAAACATGGAGCTTAGTGTTCGCTGTGCTCATGAAGAGGATCGCCTTGAAAGACTTCAAGCTCAACTGGAAGAAAGCAAAAAGGCTAGAGAAGAGATGTATGAAAAATATGTAGCATCCAGGCAAGATTTGCATTATTTCCCACGTAAATAGATACCAATTAACAGATTTTCTTTGAGGGAACTCTTGGCTTTGGGGAAGATTTAGTGATTTTTTTAAGGTCTATTCTATATGATAATACTAAGATAATACCTTATTTTATTTTATTTTATTTTATTTTTTGATTTTGACATTTCTGCTTTCTGTTTGCATACATTTAAGTGGTGTAATTTTCCCATGTGCCTTTATTTTAAAACTTTGTCATTTGGTTTTAGGTACGTTTCTTGAATACAGTAATGAGCTGATGTATCCATTAGGATAATTTGGGTTGCAAATAATGCAGAAGGGTTTAAAAAATGAAGTGAGATATGTTTGCTTTTTTTTTTTTTTTTTTATAAATTATACTTTACGTTCTGGGGTACATGTGCAGAATATGCAGTTTTGTTACATAGGTATACACATGCCATGGTGGTTTGCTGCACCCATCAACCCGTCACCTACATTAGATATTTCTCCTAATGTTATCCCTCCCCTAGCCCCCCACTCCCCGACAGGCGCCGGTGTGTGATGTTCCCCTCCCTGTGTCCACGTGTTCTCATTGTTCAACTCCCGCTTATGAGTGAGAACATACGGTGTTTGGTTTTCTGTTCTTGTGATAGTTTGCTGAGAATGATGGTTTCCAGCTTCATCCATGTCCCTGCAAAGGACATGAACTCATCCTTTTTAATGGCTGCATAGCATATATATTCCATGGTACATATGTGCCACATTTTCTCTATCCAGTCTGTTATTGAAGGACATTTGGGTCGGTTCCAAGTCTTTGCTATTGTGAACAGTGCTGCAGTAAACATACGTGTGCATGTGTCTTTTATGTTAGAATGATTTATAATCCTTTGGATATATACCCAGTAATGGGATTGCTGGGTCAAATGGTATTTCTAGTTCTAGATCCTTGAGGAATTGCCACACTGTCTTCCACAATGGTTGAACTAATTTACACTCCCACCAACACTGTAAAAGCATTCCTATTTCTCCACATCCTCTCCAGCTTGTTGTTTCCTGACTTTTTAATGATTGCCAGTCTAACTGGCGTGAGATGGTATCTCATTGTGGTTTTGATTTGCATTTCTTTAATGACCAGTGATGATGAGCATTTGTTCATATATCTGTTGGCTGCATAAATGTCTTCTTTTGAGAAGTGTCTATATCCTTTGCCCACTTTTTGATGGGGTTGTTTGGTTTTTTCTTGTAAATTTGTTTAAGTTCTTTGTAGATTCTGGATATTAGCCCTTTGTCAGATGGATAGATTGCAAAAATTTTCTCCTGTTCTGGAGTTTGCCTATCCACCCTAATGATAGTTTCTTTTGCTGTGCAGAAGCTCTTTAGTTTAATTAGATTCCATTTGTCAATTTTGGCTTTTGCTGCCATTGCTTTTGGTGTTTTAGACATGAAGTCTTTGCCCATGCCTACATCCTGAATGATATTGCCCAGGTTTTCTTGTAGGATTTTTATGATCCTAGGTCTTACATTTAAGTCTTTGATTCATCTTGAGTTGATTTTTGTATAAGGTATAAGGAAGGGGTCCAGTTTCAGTTTTCTGCATATGGCTACCTAGTTTTCCAAACAACATTTATTAAATAGGGAATCTTTTCCCCATTGCTTGTTTGTGTCAGGTTTGTCAAAGATCAGATGGTTGTAGATGTGTGGTGTTATTTCTGAGGCCTCTGTTCTGTTCCATTGGTCTATGTATCTGTTTTGGTACCAGTACTGTGCTGTTTTTATTACTGTAGCCTTGTAGTATAGTTTGAAGTCAGGTAGCATGATGCCTCCAGCTTTCTTCTTCTTGCCCAGAATTGTCTTGGCTATGTGGGCTCTTTTTTGGTTCCATATGAAGTTTAAAGTAGTTTTTTCCAATTCCGTGAAGAAGGTCAGTGGTAGCTTGATGGGGGTAGCATTGAATGTATAAATTACTTTGGGCAGTATGGCCATTTTCACGATATTGAATCTTCCTATCCGTGAGCATGGAATGTTTTTCCATTTGTTTATGTCCTCGCTTATTTCTTTGAGCAGTGGTTTGTAGTTCTCCTTGAAGAGGTCCTTCACATCCCTTGTAAGTTATATTCCTAGATATTTTATTCTCTTAGTAGCAGTTGTGAATGGGAGTTCACTCATGATTTGGCTCTTTGTCTGTCATTGGTGTGCAGGAATGCTTGTGATTTTTGCACATCAATTTTGTATCCTGAGACTTTGCTGAAGTTGCTTATCAGCTTAAGGAGATTTTGGGCTGAGACAATGGGGTTTTCTAAATATACAATCATGTCATCAACGAACTGAGACAATTTGACTTTCTCTCTTCCTAGTTGAATACTCTTTATTTCTTTCTCTTTCCTGATTGCCCTGGCCAGAACTTCCAATACCATGTTGAATAGGAGGGGTGAGAGAGGGCATCCTTGTCTTGTGCCAGTTTTCAAAGGGAACGCTTCCAGTTTTTGCCTGTTTAGTATGATATTGGCTGTGGGTTTGTCATAACTAGCTCTTATTATTTTGAGATACGTTCCATCAATACCCAGTTTATTGAGAGTTTTTAGCATGAAGGGGTGTTGAATTTTGTCAAAGGCCTTTTCTTCATCTATTGAGATAATCGTGGTTTTTGTGATTGGTTCTGTTTATGTGATGGATTACGTTTATTGATTTGTATGTGTTGAACCAGCCTTGCCTCCCTGGTATGAAGCCAACTTGATCATGGTGGATAAGCTTTTTCATGTGCTGCTGGATTTGGTTTGCCAGTATTTTATTGAGGATTTTTACATTGATGTTCATCAGGGATATTGGCCTGAAATTTTGTTTTTTTGTTGTGTGTCTGCCAGGTTTTGGTATTAGGATGATGCTGGCCTCATAAAATGAGTTAGGGAGGACCTCTTTTTCTGTTGTTTGGAATAGTTTCAGAAGGAATGGTACCAGCTCCTCTTTGTACCTCTGGTAGAATTCAGCTGGGAATCCATCTCATCCTGGATTTTTTTTTGGTTGGTAGGCTATTACTGCCTCAATTTCAGAACTTGTTATTGGTTTATTCAGGGATTCGACTTCTTCCTGGTTTAGACTTGGGAGGGTGTATGTCCAGGAATTTATCCATTTCTTTTAGATTTTCTAGCTTATTTGCATAGAGGTGTTTATAGTATTCTCTGATGGTAGTTTTTATTTCTGTGGGATCGTTGGTGAGCTCCCCTTTATCATTTTTTATTGTGTCTGTTTGGTTCTTCCTCTCTTCTTTATTAGTCTGGCTAGCAGTCTATCTATTTTGTTGATCTTTACAAAAAAAAACAGCTCCTGGATTCATTGATTTTTTGAAGGGTTTTTTGTGTTTCTGTCTCCTTCAGTTCTGCTCTGATCTTAATTATTTCTTGTCTTCTGCTAGATTTTGAATTTGTTTGCTGTTGCTTCTCTAGTTCTTTTAATTTTGATGTTAGGGTGTCAGTTTTAGATCTTTCCTGACTTCTCTTGTGGGCATTTAGTGCTATAAATTTCCCTCTACACACTGCTTTAAATGTGGCCCAGAGATTCTGGTATGTTGTGTCTTCATTCTCATTGGTTTCAAAGAACATCTTTATTTCTGCCTTCATTTCGTTGTTTACCCAGTAGTCATTCAGGAGCAGGTTGTTCATTTTCCATGTAGTTGTACGCTTCTGAGTGAGTTTATTAATCCTGAGTTCTAGTTTGATTGCACTGTGTTCTGAGAGACAGTTTGTTATGATTTCTGTTCTTTTGCATTTGCTGAGGGGTGTTTTACTTCCTATTATGTGGTCAGTTTTAGAGTGAGTGTGATGAGGTGCTGTTGATTTGGGTGGAGAGTTCTGTAATGTCTATTAGGTCTGCTTGGTCCAGATCTGAGTTCAAGTCCTGAATATCCTTGTTAATTTTCTGTCTCATTGATCTATCTAATATTGACAGCGGGGTGTTAAAGTTTCCCACCATTATTGTATGAGAGTCTAAGTCTGTTTGTAGGTCTCTAAGAACTTCCTTTATGAATCTGGGTGTTCCTGTAATGGGTGCATATATATTTAGGATAGTTAGCTCTTCCTGCCGCATTGATCCCTTTACTATTATGTAATGCCCTTTATTCTCCTTTGATCTTTGTTGGTTTAAAGTCTGTTTTATCAGAGATTAGAATTGCAATTCCGGCCTTTTTTTTTTTTTTTTTTTTTTTTTTTTTTGCTTTCCATTTGGTTGGTAAATATTCCTCCATCCCTTTATTTTGAGCCTATATGTGTCTTTGCAAATGAGATGTGTCTCCTGAATACAGCACACTCATGGGTCTTGACTCTTCATCCGATTTGCCAGTCTGTCTTTTAATTGGGGCATTTAGCCTGTTTACATTTAAGGTTAATATTGTTATGTGTGAATTTGATCCGGTCATTATGATGCTAGCTGGTTGTATTGCCCGTTAGTTGATGCAGTTTCTTCATAGTGTCGATGGTCTTTACAATTTGGTTATGTTTTTGCAGTGGCTGGTACCAGTTGTTCCTTCCCATGTTTAGTGCTTCCTTCAGGAGCTCTTTTAGGGCAGGCCTGTTGGTGACAAAATCTCTCAGGATTTGCTTGTCTGTAAAGGATTTTATTTCTCCTTTGCTTACAAAGCTTAGTTTGGCTGGATATGAAATTCTGGGTTGAAAATTCTTTTCTTTAAGAATGTTGAATATTGGCCCCCACTCTTTCTGCCTTGTAGGGTTTCTGCAGAGAGATCCGCTGTTAGTCTGATGGGCGTCCTTCCCTTTGTGCATAACCTGACCTTTTTCTCTGGCTGCCCTTAAGATTTTTTCCTTCATTTCAACCTTGGCGAATCTGACAATTATGTGTGTTAGTGTTGCTCTTCTCAACAAGTATCTTTGTCGTGTTCTCTGTATTTCCTAGATTTGAATGTTGGCCTGTCTTGCTAGGTTGGGGAAGTTCTCCTGGATAATATCCTGAAGTGTTTTCCAACTTGGTTCCATTGTCCCCATCACTTTCAGGTACACCAATCAAACGTATTTTTGTCTTTTCACGTAGTCCCGTATTTCTTGGAGGCTTTATTCATTCCTTTTTATTCTTTTGTCTCTAATCTTGTCTTCTCTCCTTATTTCATTAAGTTGATCTTCAGTCATTGTTATCTTTTCTTCCACTTGATCGATTTGGCTTTTGAAACTTGTGTATGCTTCTTGAAGTTCTCATGCTGTGTTTTTCAGCTCCATCAGGTTATTTATATTCTTCTCTACACTGGTTATTCTAGTTAGCAATTTGTCTAACCTTTTTTCAAGGTTCTTAGCTTCCTTGCATTGGGTTAGAACATGCTCCTTTAGCTTGGAGGAGTTTGTTATTACCCACCTTCTGAAGCCTACTTCTGTCAATTCATGAAACTCATTCACCGTCCAGTTTTGTTCTCTTGTTGGCGAGGAGTTGTGATCCTTTGGAGGAAAAGAGGCGTTCTGAGTTTTGGAACTTTCAGCCTTTTTGCACTGGTGTCTCCTCATCTTTGTGGATTTATCTACCTTTGGTCTTTGATGTTGGTGACCTTCAGATGGGGTCTTTGAGTGGACGTGCTATTCCTTTGTGTTTGTTAATTTTCCATCTGACAGGCCCCTTTGCTGCTGGCCTGCTGGAGTTTGCTGGAGGTCCCCTCCCGACCCTGTTTGCCTGGATATCACCAGCGGAGGCTGCAGAACAGCAAAGATTGCTGCCTGATCTTTGCTCTGGAAGCTTCTTCCCAGAGGGGCACCTGCCAGATGCCAACCAGAGCTCTCCTGTATGAGGTGTCTGTCGGTCCCTACTGGGAGGTGTCTCCCAGTCAGGATACACGGGGGTCAGGGACCCACTTGAGGAGGCAGTCTGACCCTTAGCAGAGTTCAAACGCTGTGCTGGGAGACCCACTGCTCTCTTCAGAGCTGTTAGGCAGGGACGTTTAAGTCTGCTGAAGCTGCACCCACAGGCACCCCTTTCCCCAGGTGCTCTGTCCCAGGGAGCTAGGAGTTTTATCTATCAATTTTATTTTCTTACACAATATTACTTTCTAGTTGGTTTTTAAAAAGACACTGTGGTTTTTTTCAGCAATATCAAAAGCCTATTTCTTTTAGATAGATAGATATATGCTATGACAGTTTTTTCATTTGTGGCATAATTTTTTAAATTCCTATGACTAATATCTCTATAGAAGTATTTTTTTAAAGAAAGTATGAAAGTATCTCTATAGAAGTATATTTTGGAAGAAAATCTCAGTATGCTAACGATTTCCTGTGTGAAATGTAAAAGAATTATGAGGAGATGGTATCGCATTGTGTTTTAACTTATATGCCCTTCAATCAGACTCCCTATGTTTTGGTCCTGCCTTCTTTCTTCTACTGGATGTGTAGAAGTTACTGAAGTACCTTAATATCAATCGCTTTTATAACCCTTGAATTATATCGACATACCAAAACAAACATGCTGGGTGCAGTGGCTCACACCTGTAATCCCAGCATTTTGGGAGGCCAAGGCAGGAGGATTGCTTGAGGCCAGAAGTTTGAGACCAGCCTGGGCAACATCGAAAACCCTGTCTCTATAAAAAAAAGTTTTTAAATTAGCAAGGCACAATGTCAAGCACATGTAGTCCTGCCTACTCAGGAGGCTGGGGCAGGAAGATGGCTTGAGCCCAGGAGTTCGGGGTTACATGATTGTGCCACTGTACTTCATCCTGGGTGAGAGAGCAAGGCATTATCTCTTTAAGAAAAAAAGAAAAAAATACTAAAACAAAACAAATTTTACCTTAAAGGTAAAGGTAAAGGTAAATTTTACTCTTAAAGAGTTCACACATTCATAATTTTTCCTAGCCTGTAGTAGTTTTTCATACCCTATATAATACTTCGACTTGGCTAAAAGATCACGGTGTGGCTGTGGTTGTCATGCTTGGAAGCAAAGGATTCATAGACTCCGAGTCATTTCATTTTTATATTTTTGTTAATATTATTCATCTCTCAACATCATCCTACCACATTATTATTTTTAAATGAAGGACATTCTCAATTTTGAAGCCTCAACCATATGCATTAAAACTACTAGAAAAGTGTTTTGGAAGATGAATAATTATCCCACATGAATTACTAAGATTTTATATAGTAATTAAGTCTTTTGGAAAATAATGTTTAACAGGTTGAAATCTTAGATCATACTAGTTAGGAACAGTATTTTTAGGAATTATAAAACTTTATACTATTAATAGTTAAGTTTTTCAGGTAACACAGTTTATAGAGCATACTTGATAAAAGGTATTAAAATCTTACGTACAGTGCAAAAGCCTATTTGTTTCAAAAGAAAATTTATGGTTGTTCCTTTTCACTCCTTGCAGAGACCATTATAAAACAGAATATGAAAATAAACTACATGATGAACTAGAACAAATCAGATTGAAAACCAACCAAGAAATTGATCAACTTCGAAATGCCTCTAGGGAAATGTATGAACGAGAAAACAGGTAAAAAAAAAAAAATGCTTGTATGGTATTTTATTTATCTTTGGAGGTTTTAGAAGCTTTATTGAAATTAAATGCTATTTATTATATAATGTCTTTTTTAATACATTAGAGAAAACTTGTCATAAATTGAAATCTAAGTATAATGAGAACATGAAAGTTCTAAAGTCTTAGAACAAGATTTACTAGACTTTAACCTTTTTGCTCTGTTATTCCTGTTATGTCTTTTTTTTTTACCCTAGTGACTTCTCTTTTTGCATTTGCTTCAGTTCAGATTGAGGACAGATAAAAAGTAAAGAGTGCTGAGATATCAGTTCTTCCTGTATTATAGCAACGATTTCTCCTGGAAACTTGTTAAAACTAGAATAGTAATTTCAAATATACATATGCCTCATTTAGCTGCTGGCTCCGAAAGATGTCGTATTAGGTAATCCTGAAGAAATATCATTTTTGGCTGGGCGTGGTGGCTCACGCCTGTAATCCCAGCACTTTGGGAGGCCGAGGTGGGCAGATCACGAGGTCAGGAGATCGAGACTATCCTGGCTAACATGGTGAAACCCCATCTCTACTAAAAATACAAAAAATTAGCCAGGCATGGTGGCGGGCGCCTGTAATCCCAGCTACTCGGGAGGCTGAGGCAGGAGAATGGCATGAACCGGGGACACAGAGCTTGCAGTGAGCCGAGATCGCACCACTACACTCCAGCCTTGGCGAAAGTGCGAGACACCATCTCAAAAAAAAAAAAGAAAAAAGAAATATCATTTTTATTCATGCAGTTACTTTTAGATCAGTAAATATTAGGCTCACCTAGTTAGTGATTGGCAGAATTCAGGGAAAATAAATACTATTTATTTCAATGGCAGATATTTTTATACCGTTATTATAGTCAGTGTGGTTTTTGAAAGTTTATATTTTAATGAGAAAATTATTTTGAAATTGACTTGTGATACTAGTTTATCAGCACTGATTTGCTTATATGATATTTTGATTGTTGTCAGCAAGGCTTTAAATCAGACTTAATCTATAATAGCATTGTACCATGTCATTTCTACTAGGAATATAGTAGCAGAAAATTTGGTATGTCCACCCCTCAATTCCAGGAAAAAAAAGCTGCTGTATTATAGTTGCTTATTTATAAGTTGCTGTATTTATAAGTTAGCCACTACTATAAAAACTATATATGTAGAATTATCCTTTGGTAGTAAATTAACAAAGATATTTTTAAATTACTGTTAAATTGTTATTTAATATAGCAGGTTGGTAGAGATTTTTATGCTAATGCCTCTGAGGGGTATGATTTTATTCTCAGGTTTCTTTGTTCTTGGGTAAAAATATTTGTGGTAATAAGAGAGTAGATATACAATTTATGATAGAACTTTTTTAGGATTTTTGCTAAATATGACTTAGTAGAAAGTCATAAAATGACTCTCATGAAAATCAGATTATTATTTTCCTCATAAATTTGGCTTGCATAGATCTTTATCTACCTGTTTGATCTTTTTTGAAAGTCTGCATTAGAAGTATACGCCAAAGGAAATTAATATGAACTTCAAACACTGAACACAAAAGAAATCATTCATTTGTGTATTCAACAGATACTTTGTGATTATACTCTTCTGCCTATTTTTTCTTGTTCTTCTCTTATTTGAGCTTTAAAATAATTATGTCATATTTATAATCTAGTATTATATTTTCAATGAAAATGGCAAAGAATTTCAAAATATAAAAATTCTAAGTGATCATTCAGTACTATCTTAGCAGTAGACAAACTAAAAATATGCTTTAGGCACCAGCAAATACGTGTGCATGCCAGAAGAAATTATACGTATTCTTAAAAAATGTTTTGACATATTAATTTTTAAAATAACATTTTTTATCTTGGGAAAAATAAAAACACCTCTGCATTTGTTTACACTTAGTTTATATTTTAATATTTGAGTATCGAATTACTAGTAGGAGCACCATAATCTTTTATGTGAATAAGGCTTTTGAAGTCCTAAGCTAGCCTTCATATGTTGAATCCTGAGAAAATTTTGTTCCAAGTAGCTCAAAGAAATATTGGACCACTCTTTAAATAGCATTATTTTTTATTTTAATTACTATGTTATGATTGTTCTCTTTTTTGACCATATATGTTTGCATGTATGTGTATAAAATAACAGATGTTAAGAGAAAATTTCCTAGTTTTCATTAAATAAATAATTATAAAGAAGTAGAATAATGCAGCACTACAGAAATGTCCTTGAGACTCTTTCTGCTTAACTCCTGTCTTCCATAACTGCTATTCTGTTATGCTAATAACTTCCTTGCTTCTCCTTAGACTTTTATTATCTATGTTTCCAGTATATAAACATCTCTGCACAATATAGTTTAGTTTTTCATATTATATTAGTATCATATAAATGGAATTATGCTGTATACACATATATTTTTGTGGCTTCTTCACATAACCTTATGATTTTAAGATTCATTTGCTTTTGCACTTAGTTGTCCCTTCATGTTCATTACAAAAGTATAACAGTTTTATGAATGTACATGCTTAGGGCAGCAGAGTTATTAAGAGATTGGAGAGAGAATTCCAAAGACATTCTCTATCTTTGGCAAAATTTTACTTCGTCCCAGCCCTACATTAGAAAGGAGGATCCTGTACCTTGTGATTACTTGCTCTGAAAGTTCAAAATGCAGACTAAAAGAAGAGGTATACACCTATTAAATGCTAAGCTTTATGTTGGAAAGTTTTACATTTGCACCCTCATGTAATTTTCAGAGCAATAAATTAATGAATTTAGCAAATATTTATTGAAATGTACCATTTGCCAGCTAAATGCTAGACATCATAGGTAGTGGTGACCTTTGTCTTCACAAAGCTGGTAGTCTAATGGAGGGTAAAGACAAATAGAGAAACAATTATCATAAGTATGATGATGATGGACAAAATGATAGGATAAAAGATGAGACCACCTGTGTATCTAACCTAGCCTTGGGAGGAATTGGGGAAGACTTCATAAATGAAGAACTGCCCCTTTTGACTAAAACTACTATTAAAAGTAAAACTTCAGACACATTAAATTTAAAGTTTAATTGAGCAATGAACAATTCGCAAATCAGGCAGCTTCCAGAATCACAGCAGATTCAGAGAGACTCCAGGGGTCCCTCATGGTCAGAACAAATTTATAGACAAAAAAAGTAAAGTGGCATACAGAAATCAGAAGTGAGATACAGAAACAGCTGGATTTGTTATAGGTTGGTGTTTAACTTATTTGAACACTCAGCAGTGTATGAATGGTTGAAGTATGGCTGCTGGGGTTGGCCCAGACTCAGCTGTTGTTACAGGCACATACCCCCAAGTTAGGTTTTCTATCTTGTCTGCCTATTAAGTTAGGTTGCAGTTTGTCAATACGGACTCAAATATAGAAGTACGGAGTCCTTCTTAAGGCCATATTTAGTTTGCATTAACACTATGAACTAAGGAAGGAAAGGAAATTGGGGGAATGAATATATAGCATATATAAAAGCCTGAAAGTAGGACAAAAAGGACAAAATGAAGCTTTTTGAACAAACTAATTCGGTATGGCTGAAGGATAGACTGAGAGGCAGGGAGTTAAAAGAGATGAAACAGAAGCAGGAAATGGGCCCAAAGAATGCATTTGGACCATTATGTAAGACCTGTGGGGAACAATTGAAAGATTTTAAGAAGAGGCATGAATTGATCTGATTTTATATCAAAAGATCACTGTAATGTAGAGAATAGATTGGAATGGCATAAGCCTGTTAGACAGAGAGGGTCTACTTTTAGAGGTTATTTCCATTATCCAGATGAGAGGTGATAATGGAACTGGATTAGTATCAGTAAAGATGAGAGAAATGGGCCAGGTTGGAAAAGTATTTAGGAGACAGAGCCGACAGGACTCAGTGACTAGATTGGATTGGTTGGATGAGAACTCGTTAAGGATGTCAGCAAGGTTTCTGAATTAAACAGCTGCATAAATAGTGATATAGTTTTTAAAACATTAGAAAATACAAAGCTTTAATAGGAAAACATGATAAATTTAGTTGTTTCACTTGAAGTGTCTGTGGCATCTACAAATAAAAGAGTTGACTGTAGAAGAATCTGAACCTCAAGAGAAAGATCTGGGAATTAGAGAGGCCTGTGGTATAGATAGTATTATTACTATTTTACAAATAAGTACTGTTGGTTCTGTGGTTCAATTCTGTTGTGGATTTAATAGGCTTTTGTTGACTGATATAATAACTTTAAAATATATGGGAACTTCCTATGGTTATTCCTAAGCAATCCACATAGCCATATAAACTTTGGTATGTAATCATCTTGAAAATTTCCTCATTTTTTAGGTTTTTGCTGTTTTTTAAAAAAAAATCTTTAAAGTTTATCCCATTGTAACATAAATGTGGTTGGTAGGGGTAGGTTGGTAGGTAAGGCTGTGTGGGGAAACAACCAACAGAGCCGTTTCTGGAAGTAGGAAAACTGAAAGCAGATGTCCTTGTCTCCTTGTCTCCAGTGTTCTTCTGACCCCCTATCCACATCAAAATGGACACTACCTAACCAGGGGATTCCTGGGATTGGGGCTGCCCTGTGGATGCCCCAGCCAGCCACAGGGCTCAGAATTGATTGGATGTATACTGAGGCTAGAGTGGACAATTGCCACCAGGTGGTGCCAAATTGCAGCCTGAGCCCAGATGAATTTGAATTTCACAGGACACCTAACTAGCTAGGTGTACAGGCTTGCCTTTATCATTTTAATCTCACAGTAATCCAACTCTATGTTTTATGTAATCTTTGGGGATCATAGTTTCTTCATTATGGCAGATTTAACTGTAGTTAGAGCTTGTATCATACTAATCTTCCACACAGTAAAAAGTAAATTATAAATTACTTCTTTTGAAATCTTAGAACTTAAAATGGCTAAAGAAAGAATTTTAATATTTCCTGTTATAAAACATGAAATTCATAATAAGTTTACACATTTAAGGTTGTGTGTGTGTGTTTAGGTAAATTAATCTTTTGCTTTGGCCTGAGATGTGTAATTATGTTAATTACTAGTATTTTATCAAAGTGTGCTGTTACAATAAGTTGAAATGGATGAAGTACTTACACTTGCATATTTATATTTGGTCTCCTTATCTCTCCCCCAATAAACTTTTTTTTTTTTTTTTTTTGACGGAGTCTTGCTCTGTCACCCAGACTGGAGTGCAGTGGCGTGATCTCAGCTCACTGCAACCTCCACCTCCCGAGTCCAAGCGATTCTCCTGTCTCAGCCTTCTGAGTAGCTGGGATTACAGGTTCGCGCCACCACGCCCGGCTAATTTTCATATTTTTAGTACGGATGGGGTTTCACCATCTGTTGGCCAGGCTGTTCTCAAACTCCTGACCTCAGGTAGTCTGCCTGCCTCGGCCTCCCAAAGTGCTGGGATTACAGGCGTGAGCCACCATGCCCGGCCCCAATAAACATTTTCTAAAGAAACTGAAATGATGATTAATGAAATATATTTTGCCTTTAATTTGTTGTCTATACATTGGAGGATATTAAAAGGATACTTTTTCTTTTCTCTTCTTTAATATGGAAAAGGCACATGGAACTTACTCTGTCCAATCTTGGTATCTGACCTGCAGTCATTCCACTAGTTCTTGAAGTTAAAGTATTGAGAGAAAAGAAAGAGAGTAGAAGATATAAAGACTTAAGAAAAGGGCAATTATAAATGAAGAGAGAACTTGGATATTTAGATACATCAAACATACTGTAGTTGAAATTATAATATGTATGTATGCTTTGGTCCAGTTTGTGAATTAAGCTTTTTTGTCTTTTCTGTATTTTCTAGTTACTTAAAATTCCACTTTGGAGCTGTAGGAAATGAGTGAAAGGTACTACAGTGCTGAGATGTATTATATAAATAACTTCTTGCTTAGTAGGTATTATGTGACAGAAATGTTATGGACCCTCTTATGCATTTGGAAATAAGACATTCTGTGAGTGGGAGTATATTATGAAAGAGATTTGGATCAAAAGACTGAACTTGATCCTGGTTCTACCACTTACTAGCTCAGCAGATAAGTCACTTAATATCCCTGAAGTTTAATTTCTTCTTTTATAAAATGGGCTAATAGGCTAGGTGTGGTGGCTAACACCTGTAATACCAACACTTTGGGAGACTGAGGCAGATGGATTGCTTAAGTCTAGGAGTTCGAGACCAGCCTGGGCAACATGGCAGAACCCCGTCTCTAGTGAAAATACAAAAAAAATTAGCCAGGCGTGGTGGCACAGGCCTGTAGTCCTATTAAGGAGGCTGAGGTGGGAGGATCACCTGAGCCTGGGAGGTCAAGGCTGCACTGAGCCAAGATCATGCCATTTGCACTCCACCCTGGGCAAATGGAGTGAGACCCTGTCTCAAAAAATAATAATAACTAACTAATAATACTTTTTAGGGTGGCCCGTGAGGTCTAAATGAAATAATATATGCAAAAAGTACATTATAAATTATAGATGTAGATGAGTTATTTTGGTACCTTGTGCCTATGTAGAATACTTGAAGAAAATATTTTCATCTGTTATGTTGACAGTTTAAGGAAAATCACCATTATATAAAAGTCATCTGATAATATTATGGGATTATTTATCATTAGAAGATACTAATACAAAATATATATTCTTAAGTGTTTATCTCCATAGCATTTAACCAGTTTTCTTAAATGACGTAATACAGACGTAGAGGGTCTACATGCCATTCTTTTCTGTCTAAATTTCTGCATAAGATGGCTAGCTTATGTTTCCTAATTAGGTTATGAGATAATAAGGTAAAGGGAGATAAATTCAGCTGATTAAGTTTTTCCATAAAGTAAAACTACCTTTATTTAAGGTGGTCTTGTTAACTGTAAACACAGAGCTATTCTGAGTGGTGCTCTACAAAAGATAATAGAGGTATTCATGATGCTCTTGATGCAGTACAGAATCTGGAAATTGAAATAGCTTTACAATTGTTTGAAAGGGGGTAGGCAGTAGAGAAAAAGAGATTGAAAAGATGCTTTTAAGTGCAACAATTAGTATTGCTTTAGTGATTTTATTTTCCTGCCGAATCAATAAAAACCATCTTGACCACAATTTATCTTCCAAAAGTACTCAAGAAGAAACTTTAATGATATAAACTTGAAATTTATGTAGAATCTTAGAGTGATATTAAACAACTTTGAATCTTGAATCTATTTACAAAGGTTAGTTGAGTATATGTATTGTATTACAATGGTGAATTTAACTAGTGTACAGAGGTTCCAGTCATCATTTTAAAAGTGTATGTCCTCATTAGTGCTTAAGCAAACAAACAAACTTCTTTTGTTCATATCTTACCAGGTATCTGTATAATGTTTTAAGTTCTTCCATGGAAAAATTTAATAGTAATTACTTTGTCTTTTCAGTTAGATAATTCTTGAAGTATATGGCTCTGCAGATAACTCTCTCAGCATCTTCTCAAATATTTTAAATTAATTTTTATTATCAGTTATCTTTTATTGTTAACTATATTCTTTACTCCTTAGATGTTTACAACGTGTGTTCACTGCTTCATTAATAATACTTAAAAATTTCAAGCTCTGTAGGGTGTTCCAGATATGAAGCAAGGTAAGTTCAGGTTGCATAGGAATTTAGATATACCTTTGTGGTGTAATTCGTTGTGTGTTAGGAGAGGCTGGTAAAGTAAGATTGGGCCAGATTTTAAAGGTTCTGTTGTCAGTGGGGAATTTCCAGAGGTTTTATAGTAGGAAAGAAACATGACTTACTCATTTTTTATAACTACGGTTGCAATGCGGGGTGGATTATAGTTGAAGAAAGCCTAGAAGCAGGGAGATCACGTAGGAGGCTGTTGCACAGCTTAGGTGATGAAAATAAGTAGAAAGAGAAAATGATGGATGAATTTAAAGAATACGTAGGAGAATTGGCAAGATCTGGTGATTGACAGGAAGTGAACCTCAGGAACGACCCCAACTTTTCTACCTCAGTAGTGTCAGAGTGATTGGTGATAAGGCATGGCCATTAGCTCCAGAATGCAGACTTTTTGAGACAGAGTTTTGCTCTTGTCGTCCAGGCTGGAGTGCAGTGGCACAGTCTTGGCTCACTGCAACCTCTGCCTCCCGGGTTTAAGTGATTATCCTGCCTCAGCCTCCCAGGTAGCTGGGATTATAGGCATGTGCCACTATGCCCAGCTAATTTTTGTACTTTTAGTAGAGACGGGGTTTCGCCATGTTGGTCAGGCTGGTCTGGAACTCCTGACCTCAGGTGATCTACCCACCTCGGCCTCCCAAAGTGCTGGGGTTACAGGCATGAGCCACCGCGCCTGGCCTAATTTCTGATCTTTTACAGATGTGGCAGCCCTGACCAAGCTCAAAAGTGCTTATCTGAGATCACACAGCTTTTTACTAGAGATGTTTCTCTGCTGTGCCCCAGATTTCACTCCACTTAGCCCTCAGATTAGTAGAAGGAACCCTAAGCTGCTAAAGCCCCTCCAACAGTCTTCTCTGTTTTCCCTAGGATGCCATTAAAAATAGTATCACTTTCATTTTATACAATAAAAACTTTGAGGAAACATTGCTGTAATTATCAACCTTTAAATTAACATCACGTTTTAATTTACATTTTCATATTTAGGTAGCATAGTAAGCATAGTTACTATTTATTGAGTACCTATTATGCGTCAAGCATTGTACTCAACACTTTACATACGTTGTAGAAAAAGAAACACATTTTATGAAGTTTAGGTATTAATAACCGTATTTTACAAGTAAGGTAATTGAGACATCAACTGTGACTTGCCTGTGATTATTATAAACATTTGTTGGTAAAAACTAGATACATCTGACTCTGCAATGCAGTGCACACTCCCATTTAACTGGTCAGTGCTATGTAAACTGATCAAAGATTTCCTATCAAAACTACAATTTTGAAGTTAATTTACTTAAAATAGAAATTCTGTCTTTTTTTATTATTATACTTTAGGTTCTGGGATACATGTGCAGAACGTGCAGGTTTGTTACATAGGTATACACATGCCATGGTGGTTTGCTGCACCCATCAACCCGTCATCTACATTAGGTATTTCTCCTAATGCTCTCCGTCCCCTAGCCCTTCACCCCAACAGGCCCCAGTGTATGATGTTTCCCTCCCTGTTTCCATGTGTTCTCATTGTTCAACTCCCACTTATGAGTGAGAACATTCAGTGTTTCGGTTTTCTGTTCCTGTGTTAGTTTGCTGAGAATGATGGAGAAACTCTGTCTTTTAAGAGAATTTGCAAACGACATTCCATGCTTGAGGGCTGAGTATGGATCATTAGAGCTTTATAAAAGCATCTGTAATTTTATTTACACACACACACACACACACACACACACACACACACACACACACACACACACACACACACACACACACACACGGATGAAGTCTTACTGTTTTGCCCAGGCTGGGTCTTGAACTCCTGAGCTCAAGTGATCCTCCCCGCCGACCTCAGCCTCCCAAAGTGCTAGGATTACAGGTGTGAGCCACCATTCCCAGACAAGCATTTATAATTTTTGAAGTTAGCAAAGAGGACTTTTTCTTTTCTTTTTTATTTTATTTTATTTTATTTTAAGTTCTATGATACAAATGCAGAACATGTAGGTTTGTTGCATAGGTATACATGTGCCATGGTGGTTTGCTGCACCTATCAACGGGTCCATCTAGGTTTTAAGCCCCACATGCATTAGCTGTTTGTCCTAATGCTCTCCCTCCCCTTGCCCCCCACCCCCAAGTTGGCTCCAGTGTGTGTTGTTCCCCTCCCTGTTTCCGTGTGTTCTCATTGTTCAGCTCCCACTTATGAGTGAGAATATGTGGTGTTTGGTTTTCTGTTCCTGTGTTTGCTGAGGATGATGGTTTCTAGCTTCGTATCCATGTCCCTGCAAAGGACATGATCTCATTCCTTTTTATGGCTGTGTAGTATTCCATGGTGTATATGTACCACATTTTCTTTATCCAGTCTATCATTGATGGGCATTTGGGTTGGTTCCATGCCTTTGCTACTATAAATAGTGCTGCAATAAATATATGTGTCCATGTGTCTTTTTATAGTAGAGTGATTTATATTCCTTTTATAGTAGAGTGATTTATAGTCCTTTTGGTATATACCTAGTAATGGGATTGCTGGGTCAAATGTTATTTCTTCTTGTAGATCCTTGAGGAATCGCTACACTGTCTTCCACAACTGTTGAAGTAATTTACACTCCCACTAACAGTGTAGAAGCATTCCTGCTTCTCACCAGCATCTGTTGTTTCTTGGCTTTTAATAATTGCCATTTTGACTGGCATGAGATGGTATCATTGTGGTTTTGATTTGCATTTCTCTAATTATCAGTGATGATGAGCTTTTTTTCATGTTTCTTGGCCACATAAATGTCTTCTTTTGAGAAGTGTGTGTTCATATCCACTATCAAGCCTTTGGCACCCCCATACTACTCCAACAAAGATGTTTTTATACCAAAGCCCCTAAGACCTTCATGTTGCCCAAATCCAGTAGTCATTTTCTCAGTTCTTACCATGCTTCACCTTACTAGCAGTATGTAACACAGTTGATCACTCCCTACTCCTGGGAACACAATCTTTAGCTTCCATAGTGTCACACACTATTAAATTTTTCTCTTCCTCATTAGCTGCACCTACTCATTCTCTTTGTTGGTTCCTCCTCATCTTCTTGACAACTTTTGCAGCTGCCTCCATGGCATTTCCACTTGGTTATCTATTAATAATATTTATCCTAATGTGTTCAGAAGCAAATTTCTGTTCCATTCTACCTCCCAATTCTGCTCCACCTTCAGTCTTACCCAGTTCGATTAAAGACAACTCTATTCTTCCACTTGCCCAGACCAAAAACCTGAAGTCATCTTTTTTCACATTCCATATTCTATTCATTAGCAAATCCTTTTGGATTTATGATCTCTATCTCACGTATATTACCTTGCTTCAAGTCACCATTATCTCTTGCCTAAAAATTACTGCAGTAGCCTCTTAAGTGGTCCCCAGCTTTCTTCCTCGCCCTCTCCAGTCTCTTAGCACAGTTCTTGTTAAATGTTAAGTTGGATCACTCCTCTACTCAAATAAAAAGGCTCCCCATCATTAAACTTAGTAAAACTTTAAATGATTACAGTGGCCTGTGATCCTACCTGATCAGTATTCAGTTATCCTATCCTCATTTAGGATTTTCTTCTGGTCACTCGCATAGTTATGCTGGCCTCCTGTTCTTTTACCTGTAGGTGTGCTCCTACCTCAGGTCCTTTGTATTCAGTTTCCACTGCATAACCATCTACTCCTGATGATACACCTGTTCTTGTGGTCTTTTCTGACTTTGTTCTATGTTGTCTTTGTTTTTAATCTATCAACATACTACATATTTATTTACTTTGGGTTTTTTTCCTACTAGAATGTGATCTCCATGAGAGTAGGAGTTTTCATGTATCGTTCAGTCCTGGACTCCCAGGTACCAGTGCCTGGTACGCAGTAAACACTCAATATACGTAATATTTATTGAATGAAAGAATGAATTGGTACTACTTTTTAGAAATTAGGTGGCTGTTGGTTTAGATGAAAACCTACTCAAAGGTTTATAATGGATTTGATCAGGACTGAGTGTCGTTTGAAGATATATAGTAGTTACTCAGTTAACCATCTACCAGATTCATTCTGTTTCATTTTGATATGTTACCTTTTATCCTGTCAGCTACTTTGTAAATCTTAACACATTAATGGATTTAAGCAAATATTTTGCATTTTGGTACTTCAATTTTTTATAATTTTTCAACCATAATTTGGGTTCAATGTTTATCTACTTTGTGCTTAAGTTTTCATATCTAGAAACAAACAAAAATCTGCTTGAGCACCAATTGTCTTCAGTCCATTTTATGCTGCTATAACAGGATACCTGAGACTGGATAATTTATAATGAACAGAAGTTTATTGGCTCACAGGTCTGGAGGCTGGGAAGTCCAATATCTACGTACTGGCATCTGGCAAGAGCCTTCTCACTACATTATCATATGGCATAAGGCAAGAAGGTAGGAGACAGAGCAAGGGGGAGCCAAACTCACCCTTTTATAATGGCACCATTCCCACTCTCATGGCCTAATCACCATTATCAGGTCCCACTTCTTAATACTGTTAGAATGGAAGTTAAATTTCAACATGAGTTTTGGAGGACAAAAACTTTTAAACCAAGGCACCAACTATAATAAAAGGTTAGGAAAGTGTAGCATTTTCAGTCAACAATGATCTCAAAAAGTTTCTACTCTTAAAATGTATAGCTTCTCCCAAGAAATTTATTAAATAAGATTTCCACTTTGCTTATTTCGTTTTTATGTCCTGCTCATTAACTTTTCAGTCATCTATGATAAAGGTAAAACTACAGTCATTGAATAGAAACAAGATAATCTACATGCAACCCTTCTATTTTATGCCATCTTAAAAACAAAGGCATCAGATATGGAAATGAGCAGTTTTATGTTGTGTCCAGGAAGACGCTGGAGGTAGAGATGATAAATTCAAACACTTTTCCTATAAATAAGCCTGTCATATAAAACAGCCTATTTTAATCCTTTGTTGTTCTAACTAGAAAAATATATTTACTTCTATTAGCCAAAAATATTTTTACATGAAGACAGAGGGAAGAGTTTGGATTGCTTAGTTGCGCCTGCTGAGCTCTTCTGATAGCCATGGTTATTTTTGTTTGTTTTTGTTTTTGTTTTTTCACTATTTATGCTTGGTAAATTTTAAGTTCTGAGGCATTAGGGATGTTTATTCAGGCTCAGACGTATTCCTTGCATTGCCAAACTCTGATTTGATACTGTTTGAATTTCGAAGGGTCCTAAAGTTTTTCTCATTCTTCTGACATTTTTCTTACCACTTTTCAGATATAAATGTAGATTCAGCCTATTGGTACTGTGAAATTTATCATCTAGTAGTAGGCAAATACATTCTACCCTGTACGTTAGTCTATTGTTACGAATGTTTTATAATGAGGTTTTCAAGTTTCAGTTGTGAGCTACTGTTGAATAAACTTCTGTGTATTAAATTATCTGCTGCACAAATGGCACTATATTGCATATGAATTATGTCTATTTTGTTATAATATTAAAACCCTTTTATTTAAGTAAATGATTAAGAACTTAACTCTTGGCCGGGCGCGGTGGCTCACGCCTGTAGTCCCAGCACTTTGGGAGGCCGAGGCGGGCGGATCACGAGGTCAGGAGATCGAGACCACAGTGAAACCCCGTCTCTACTAAAAATACAAAAAATTAGCCGGCATGGTGGCGGGTGCCTGTAGTCCCAGCTACTCAGGAGGCTGAGCCAGGAGAATGGCATGAACCCGGGAAGCGGAGCTTGCAGTGAGCTGAGATCGCGCCACTGCACTCCAGCTTGGGTGACAGAGTGAGACTCCGTCTCAAAAAAAAAAAAAAAGAACTTAACTCTTTAAGTTTCTCATTTGAATGTTATAATTTAAGTAACCATACCTCTTGGTTTGTCTAAGAAAGTAGTGGTTTGTGTGTGTTTCTTTGGCATAATTTTTAATAGCACCCTCTTTTATTCTAAAAAGTGCACCAGGTTGAAAAATACATTATTTGAATACTCTAGTTATAAAAGTAGGATACTCACTTACCCTTTGCATTTCACATAGTATTTATTTAAGATTTATTTTCTTCAATCTTTCCTCTCAGTATGTCTCCATCCCACAACATAGGGTGAATGGGAAAAATACATATGTGTATATGGGAGATACATAGAATTGCTAGGAAACAACATGAAAGAATCATGAAAAACACAGTGTTGGAATCTAACGTTAACTTTATACAAGTATTTTAAGGATGACATATTCAGATTTTTGTATTTTAAAACACTTATCTTTCTTTGTTATAATTACATTTGATTATACGCTTGGTTTGGACTTCTAAAACTTGAGCTTCGTTAGCTTGTACATGCTACGGATAGCTTCTATCAATTTTTGAAGTTTCTCTTTTGAAGAACATTTGAATTCCTGTAATTTGTTTTGTAATTGTATTTCTGTTATATTTTCTAATGCATTTAACATTTGAAATGGATTACTTATTATATGAAAGTTATTGTCTTATCTGTGGAAGGAATACATCTAGCATTTTATCAAACAGTTTATTTTTGAAAGAGCATGTTATATACTGTGGGCCATAAAAGCTAATGTATAGTATATTCACAATTCTTTCAAGGCTTATTTTGATTTCCCATCTATTGGTGCCTTGAGGTGGTCATGTAATATAAATCTCATAATGTCAGAATTTCTCAAGGAGAAAACATCTGTGAAGCAAAGGAAATTTTAAGAGGCAGCATAGTATGATTCACAGCACAGACTCTGGAGCCAAATTGTTTGGGTGCACATTTGGACTCTGTAGCATACTTCCTGTGTGACTTTAAGCTAATACTTAACCTCTTTGTGTTTTAGTCTTATCATTTGTAAAATGGAGGTAATGATACAACTGCTTTGTGGGATTGTTGTGACAATTAAATGAGTTGTGATATGTAAAGTGCTTAGGACGGCTTCTGGCACATGGTAAACAGTATGCTATTGCTATTTATTGTCAGTAGAAGAATACATTGAGTTTTTCTCTCTCAGACTTCATATGAAACCTGTGAATTGGTAATATTAAATAAAGTATCTATTTCTTATAAGGAATTATGCTGCGTTTTGCTAAAGAATGCAGGTTGTGGACTGGATATGGAAGGTGTGGTACTTGATAAGGAGATTGGGTTTACACAGAAATGTTACCCACAAACACCTGTGAGAGGACCTCTTGGTAGAAGCCTTAGCTTCTTCTGGTCCATTCCCCAGTTCATTTCTGTTTTCTCTTTCTGAATTGCTTTACCTATTTGTCCTTCAAGACCCAACTTACATGTCACTTTTAAAAAATGTTTCACTTTATTCACCTACCTCTCTTACTCCAGTAAAGAATAATCAACTCCTTCTCTTTGTGGCCATAGAATTTTGTTTATGCCTTAACATAGTACTTAACATAGTACCCGCTAATCATACCTCCTTTCACAAGCCCTGATGTTAGCTTGTTCTAGGTTTTATTTCATTCCCTTTGTCTTGTTTTCATTTCTCATGTCCATTGTTGCAAGAAAGGAAATGTTATTAGGGACTGAAGCTTCTCCATCTACCAATTGAGCATTCGTGATTCATTAGTCCTGTAAATGTGCTCTACTTGTAATTGTGCTGCCGAAATAACATATAGAATAATGAAGCTGTATTTGAGAAATGAACATTGAAACCAATTTGTGGTGATTTACTGACTAAAATATTTACATCATTTCGAAATGAAAAATATATAAATGTTTAATATAGTTTGAGAACTTTATCTATAACATTAATTTTTTATGTTTCAGTTTGTTTGAGAATAGAATATTTTTGAAGGTTGTTGCAATCAGGATGACATCTGAAAATAATAATATGCCATTTTTTGATAGCTACTTTAGAATGCACTTCCACTTAGTAACCCACAAAAGTAGTTTCTTTTCTTTTCAATAAGAGTTATCTATACTCCAGCATTTCTGAAGAAACTATTTTATTTCTGGCTTATCAACTATTTTACTGACAAATCTCTAATGGTTGACATTTTTAAAATTTTAAATTTGTTGTTAATATTGATGGCAGCAGCGGCCCATCTGGAGCAGCTGTTGTAAAGATGCCAGCTGCAGTGGGGGAGGCGCGTCCAGGGCTGCATGCTCCACTGAGCCAGCAGGAGCCGGAAACAGGCAGAAACCCAGACCCCTTCCGAGTTGGAGGGGCGGGAGCCCTCCCAGGCGCAGCTGCAGTGGCCCAGTCGCAGCTGCGGACCCAGGCATTCCCTCACTATCTTCGGCCTAGGGAGCCCCCTTCCCCCACGGGTTCAGAAATGCCTGTTCCCGCTGCCTGACCTCTCCCTACTCCCAGCACCCACTCTGATTTCAGAGCAAAGTTGAGGCCAAGCCTGGGCACTGTTGCAGGTGTGCCCGCTCTTGGGGCATTGCTGACACCCCAGCCCCCTGCCACCTCGGCCTCCTCTGGACTTTGGACACTGACAAGCACGGAAGGGAGGCTGGCCAAAGTGGGGGATGAGGGTGTCTTGGTGCAGGCCTGCAGGTGCCCTTTGGCACTCCAGGCTGGGCGCCAGGTTACAGCTGGTTGATGGCGGCAGGAGGCAGGCTGGCTTCTGGGCGGAAAGGGGTGGGTCCCTGGTGAAGCCCCACCCTCAAGCCAGGGATAGCCTGGAGCATGGGAGCTGCGCCACCAGTTTCACAGAACGGAGTGAGAACTTACAGTACTTTTTTCCTCTGGCCCACCCATTGCCACCTATGGACCAATCAGCATATACTTCCTCCCCACTGAAGCCCACAAAAACCCCAGACTCTGGCAGACCTCTGGACGATCTGCCTGCAGAGAGGAGCTACCAACTGTGGGTCTCCTCTCAGCTGAGAGCTGAGCAGATGTAGAGACAACCTGCCTGCAGAGAGAATCTACCCACTGTGGGTCTCCTCTCAGCCAAGAGCTGAGCAGACAGTGGGATGGCCTGCCTGCAGTTAGGAGCTACCCATTCCAGATCTCTTGAGAGCTGTACTGCTGCTCAGGGAAGCACCTCTTTGTCTTATTCATGCTCCGGTTGTCTGTGTACTTCATTCTTCCTGGACACAGGATGAGAACTTGGGACCTGCTTAATGGTGGGACTGAAAGAGCTGTAACACAAAAAGAGCTGAAACATGCCCCTCACTCGCCACATTGCAACAAGGAGAGAATTGCTGCAGCCCTTTGGGGAGCCCAGACCTAGGAGCTCCCTGAGCAAGGGCTCTGACACCTGTTTGGGGCTCTGCAGTTCCTGGCATCTCCAAGCTTCCGGACACCACTGCATTCCCCGGTGCCAGCAGTGGAAGCTGCTTTCAGTATGCCTGTCCAGTCGCAGCCTCACAGGAAGCCTGGAGCCGCCTACCCCACGGCAGCCGGTGTGCCCTGCTGTGTGCAGTGGTTGAACCCTGTACTCACTGACTTGCTCACGCACCCCTTGCTCACACACCCCTTGCTGCTCTGCACTTGGCTTGCCCTCAGCAGGTGTGAGATCCCGGCCAGTATAGCTTGAGCCGAGTACAGCCTGTGAGGCCGAGTGGGTGGAACAAGCCCAGTGGGCCTGAGCATAACTCGGGCAAAGGCGCCACTGGCCACAAAGGTTTCCAGCTGACAAAGTGACGCCCCAAGGATCCTGTGACAGCACCACCATGCAAAAGACTAGATTGAGTACTGGTACAGCAAATATGACTACTAAGCATTTCTATCCAATATTCAATAGATAGGTTTATTCAAACTTTATGGCTTTCATGACTCCCTACTCATATTCTGTATGAATAATAAAAAATAATAATTTCCAACCCAGTTTTTCATGAGAGATAGTGTGGCATGATGTAAAAAGCCCTGGCTTTGGAGTAAGAAATAACTGGATTCAACTTATGGTCCTCTTAGGCTGTGTGACTTGAGGCTAGGTATATGAGCTCTCTAAACTTCAGTTTACTCAGCTAAAAAGTAGGTTATAACATAAAGGGCTTTGTAGGGATTAAGTGAGCAAAATCATTTATATTACATTCTTTTTATTTATGTTGTAACTGCTAGAGAAGGAGATTTAAAAAAAAAAATAGGTGACTATCTGAAAGAAACTTACTGTTGGTATTTTTTTTTTATTCAAAGTTTCATCTTGATTAAAAGGCAAAAGTTTTGATCTTTGGAAGCTCATGGCTAGTTGTGTAATCTCCCAGTTAGTCATTGTTGTTATCTTCCAGCTCCCCTTAACTGACACTAAATGTATTCTTTCTATCAATTTCAGTTCCTTCCTACTGTCCTCACAACTGTTAAGTAGATGACTTTTCCAGTACCCTAACTTCATACTTCTTTGAGCCCTACATGAATATTGACCTTCATCTCAGATCTACTTAATTTAGTCATACTAATTTTCATACCCGATCTTGTTAGCCACCAAAATTCTGCCACTGAAAAGTGCTGTTCTACCTCCAAATCACCATTCTCCAGTCTTCCATCTTGCTTGTACAACTATTACACTTTGACTTAATCTGTCATATCTTATCAGGACCTCTAATTCTTTGTCCCTTCTACTTTCTCCTGTCTGTCAACCTGTGTTTCCTTCCCATTCCTTCCTATATAACTGAGACTTCAAGGTTCTTCATTTCAATGATTCTCTTGCTCGTATCCCAAACCGCACTTTTATTTTGATTCTCCACAATATATCTTTCACTTAAAATATTTTATGGGACATTTATTAACCTCCCCAAACCTCAGTTTTCTAGTGGATAATATATGAATAATTACACCTATCTCATTGGATTCTCGTAAGGAATACATAAATTACTATATATACAAACTGGTTAGCCAACCCTTTGACCCATGCGGAGAAGGGTGGTGTGACATAGAGATAGACCATACTGGCACCTACACTGGTGTATCCTGCTCTTAGATACTCAACCAAGCCAAGCAGGTTTATATAGTGTACACTTTGGGTCCCCAACTTCTCAGATGGGTCCTTAAGATTGTCAGATAGTCCATCTTTAAGAAAGAACATAGATAAATCACGCATTTGAAATAACTGAAATCCATGTTTAAAATTTAGAAATCTCCGAGAAGCAAGGGATAATGCTGTGGCTGAAAAGGAACGAGCAGTGATGGCTGAAAAGGATGCTTTAGAAAAACACGATCAGCTCTTAGACAGGTAAGCATCATAAAAATAGAAATGTTAAAACTCTTCCATTATTGTTTCTGTTACATATTCTTTTAGAAAATGTATTTTAAGGAGAGAATAATTTTCATTTCAATTGAGGAGAGACTAATTTTCATTTCAATAATTTTCATTTCAATTTTCATTTCATTTCAATTTCATTTCAATAATTTTCATTGCAATTGCTTTATTTTTACAATATACAATTATTGTGGATATTGAAAATGTGGTATAGAACAGTTCAGTTACTCCAGAGAGTTTCCTTATGGCCCTTCAGTCCTTCTTAACTGCTACTACTCAAGAGGCACCACTTTCTGATTTCTGTCACAATAGATTAGTTTTGCTTCTCTTAGACTAAAAATACTCTTGTGTCCAGGTTCTTTCATTCCACTTTGTTGTTGTATCAGTAGTTCATTCCTTGTTGTTGCTGAGTATGAATATATTTTATTCACCTGTCAATGGTCATTTTGGTGGTTTCCAGTTTGTTACTATCGTGAATAAAGCTGCCATATAATTTTTTGAAAGTGTGTGTTTTTATTTATCTTGGCTAAATACCTAGGAGTGGCATTGTTCATCATTGGGTAGATAAATGTTTTACTTTTAAAAAACCTGCCAATGGTAACACCAAAGTGATTCTACCATTGTATACTCCCTAGTTTTTTTTTTTTCAAAATCTATATGTTCTAAAGTATGTGTTTTGGAAGGAGGATATCAGAGAGAATGATATATCTTTAATTTACCAATAGAAAATGATATTTATTTTAATAGCCTTGTTAAAAGGAAAATAACTGATGGGCATTATGGTAAATATCATTACTTCATTAAACATTCTACACTTTCAATTGTTTGACTGCATAGAGAGTAAACAGTGGCTACCTTATTTTTTTAACTTTTCATTTTAAAATTATTTCAGAAAAGTTGCTAAAATGGTAAAATTTCTGCGTACCGTTCACATACTAATAAACTTTTGAAATTAAGTTCAATGGGTCTTTTAATTGTTAAATGAAGACCAGATTAATTTGAGGTATAAGCAATACATAAAACTAAAATTTGAGGCAAGTCTTCATATAATTAACCTATTGTAAAAATCTTTTAGAATGGCTCAAATTGTCATACTTCTGAATTCACATCAACTTTATAAACTTGGCCTATGGAAGAATTTTAATAAATGTTATATTGAAGAAGTCATTCCTATAATGTGGAAGTATGTCTTATTCTAAATATCATGCTATCGGGCTAGGCACTGGAAGGCTGAGGCAGGTGGATAACTTGAGGCTAGGAGTTTGAGACCAGGTTGGGCAACATGGTAAAACCCCGTCTCTACTAAAAATGCAAAAATTAGTAGTGTGTGGTGATGCATGCCTGTGATCCCAGCTACTCAGAAGGCTGAGGCACGAGAGTCACTTGAACCCAGGAGGCAGAGATTGCAGTGAGCAGAGATCATGCCACAGCACTCCAGCCTGGGCGACAGAGTGAGACTCTGTCTCAAAAAAAATTTTTTTAGTTTATCTAAAAAAAATAAAGATCATGGTGTAAAAGATCATGGTATGTAAATCAGCTCCTTTCATTAGAGTTCCTATAAAGCGTTTGTTTTATATTTTATTACGTGTAACGCTTCCACTTACAAAACTATATGATGTCCCCTAAAGATTCATTTGACTTTGTGTTGATGTCAGTTTTTAATGTGTAGTTTTAGGGATGTATATTTTTAGGGATGGCTCTAGAATAAGATTTATGGGCAAACTAATAAGGTTTAAAAGAAAACGTAAGATATTACCTAGTAAATCAGAACTTACATTCATCACTTGATAGCTACTGTGTGGTTTTGTAAAGTTGGAGAGAATAATATATCTGATCATAAAACTGACCAATTTATATTTATCGTAAGCTACACTCTTAACCTAAATCCTTCTTATCCTACTTGTATGTACATTTGCAACTGATGTTCATCCGAAGGCCATGCGATACTCTAATACCTAAAAGTATCTATTAAACAATAGAGGATTCAATTATTTAATGTTTGTATAGCACTTAGAACAGTGCCTTCCTATGATAACTACTATTATCATAGAATAATTTGTCCAATTTAGTGTTGTTGTGAAACTTTACTAACTGAATTTTGTTCTTCACAAGTTGATATCTTTCCAACGAATTTTTCACTAAAATTTTAGATAAACTGGAAAACCTCATTTTCAAACTGCCAGATAGGAGGAGGCTTATTTTTAATAATTCTTTGAAGTCATAGTAAAGCCTTGCTTATTCAGAGCCCAATTTTCAGCCAACCTTAAATATTTGTGATAGTTTTAAAATCAAGACAAGGAAAAAAAGGTGTTTCTAGACACCACTAAAAATAACCCTTGAGCAGCAAATAGAGCTAATGCTCAGGACTGTAAAGGACATTACAGAACCAGAGACTTATGAATAAATGAGTGAATGAATGAGAATAATATCTGGGAATGTAAAACTCAAAATAAGCTTAGGCTTTAACAAAATGCTTAAAATAGCTAAAGTTACTTATCTGTTTTTTAAGATATAATATCAATAAATGAAGGGAAAAGTATCCCTGGTTAGGACTGTAATGTTGATAAATGACATTTTTAAAAGTAGAATTCTAGATGTACCATCAGTTTAATTCTTTCTTAATTAATATATAAATTCAGTGCAGTTCATGTCAAAATTTTCAAATGACTTTGAAACTTGACAAACCAACACTAAAAATTCTTTTTCACAATTATTATGCCCATTCTTGTACATTTACTCTTCCATATAAATTTTTATAGTTACAGTTTTTACGTTATGCCTTCATGTGAAGTTCAATTTTGGGGTAGTGTACATAGAGAACTAATTTTATTTTTCATGAAAATGTCAGTTTCCTTAAGTTAAACTATGCATTTAATGTAAGCCAAATAGAATACCAAAAATATTTTTTTGAAACCAGACAAATAAGTTCTGTGGCTTATATGGAAAAATTAAGTAAGTGCATTTCTAAATAAGAACAATGAATTGTGACAGGTCACTAGGGTAGCCAGCTAAGGGGAAAAGAAAATTGAGATCCATACCTCATAACTTACACCAAGATAAATTTCATATGGATCAGAGATTTAAATGTAAAACCATTAAAAACCTAAGAAGCCATAGGAGAATGTTTTTATAATCTTGAATTACAAAAGGCCTTTGCAACTTAGGAGTTATAGAAGTAATAAATTGATAAACTTGATTCCCTACAAATGAAAAATGTTGGTGTGGCATTACTGCCATAAGGAAAGTCAAAAAACAAATGCAAATGTAATCTTGGAAAAAATATTTGCAACGTCTGTCACAGTCATGTGACTGATTTTCCCTTCTCCAAATCAATAAGTCAACATTAAATTCATATTAAAATTATACCTATTTTCAGCTGGACATGGTGGCTCATGCCTGTAATCCCAACATTTTGGGAGGCCGAGTTGGTTGGATCACCTGAGGTCAGGAGTTCAAAACCAGCCTGGCCAATATGGCAAAACCCTGTCTCTACTAAAAATGCAAAATATTAGCCTGGCATAGTGGCACGTGCCTGTAATCCCAGCTACTTGGGAGGTGGAGGCAGGAGAATCGCTTGAACCTGGGAGGCAGAGGTTGCAGTGAGCCGAGATTGCACCATTGCACTCCAGCCTGGGCTACAAGAGTGAAACTCTGTCTCAAAACAAAAACAAAAACAAAAACAAACTATGCCTGTTTTCCACTAAAAACCAAAAGGTTGATAATACATTGTGTTTGCGTGGGTATGGAAAAACAGGCAATCTTAACATTAGTGGGAGTTTAAATTGGTACAACTAATATGAAGAGTAATTCGATAATACCTATCAGAAGTACAAATGTACATTGTGTGTGTGTGTGTGTGTGTGTGTGTGTGTGTGTATGTATTATGTGAGATGGAGTCTCACTCTGTTGCCCAGTCTGGAGTGCAGTGGCACAATCTCTGCTCGCTGCAGCCTCTGCCTCCCGGGTTCAAGTGATTCTCGTGCTTCAGCCCCCTGAGTAGCTGGGATTACAGGCACGTGCCACCACACCCGGCTAATTTATGTATTTTTAGTAAAGATGGGGTTTTGCCATGTTGCCCAGTCTGGTCTCGAATTCGTGACCTCAAGTAATCTGCCCGCCACAGCCTCCCAAAGTGCTGGGATTACAGGCGTGAGCCACTACGCCCAGCCATACATTGCTCTTGATCAAGGAATTTTATTTCTAGTACGTTATCCTGCAGGTATACTTGCTAGGTTCAAAATGCTATATATACCACCTTATTTACTGTAGCATAGTTGACATTTAAGCAGTAGTTAAAAGAATTGTAATTCATGAATACTCTTACAGAATACAACAATGTAGTTGTACAAAAGGAAGTAAGTGGCTCTTTATATCAGGACCAGGAAAAATCTATTAACATTTATTGCTTCTGGAGAAGGAAATTAGGTGTTGCATGGTTGGTGGACAGATAGAGATTTTGTACCTCATAAATATGTACCCTCTTTTGTACCTCATACATATTGAAACTTACAATGTGTTTTTTTCTTTTTTGTGTGTTTTTAATTAAATTTAAACAAAGAGTGGTTATTAAGAATACTTATATACAAGTTTCAAATCATAGTTACTGAGAAACTTCAGAAATTATGTTTTTAATACTCCTGGTGAACAATGGGAGTGAATAAAGGGAGTCAACAAATACCATCTTGTTTTCATAAAAGGGAAGAAGGTAGTAGATTCTTGCAACTATTAAGGAACATATTAGTAGATTACATTACATAACATATTTTGATAAATTATACTCTAATAATTTGATGCAATCTTACATAAACTTTAAGCAAATTACTTGACTTTTTTTAACTATAATGGATGTAAGTACTTTGATAAACCTTTGCTTTTTTCATTGTCAGACGTGATGTTTCTAACCATTTAGGATTGCTTTGAGCCTTAGATATAATATATTTTAAGTGTATGGCATAGATTATGCTCAGTAAGCAGCCATGCTTGCAATGGTTTTTAAGATTGCTGCTGAAAGAAGCAAGTATCACCAAGAGTTAGGATGGGTTCTCTAAAAATAAAGAAGACTACATTTCAATTTTTAAGAGATATATTGCAGGGGTAAAGCATGGAAATGAGTTAGATAGGGAACAAGGGATTTGATAAGACTTTCCATGACATCCTTTTAAACAATATGGGGAAAATATGGGAGCAATTCAAGGCCAGGTAAATGGATTAGTAACTACTGAAGGGCTTTATCCAAATGTTGTTAGAGAATTATTAATTAAAAAATGGGTATATGGTACTCATCTATAATATCCTGCAGTACTATATTTCTGCATTTTTGTCAGTGATTTCAGGAAAAATTAAAACCATATTTAACAAATTTGATATAAAACAATAACAACAAATTAATTGAATAATGAAGTAAGGATCTAATAGATCTTTTCAGGCAGAAGTAATTAACTGAATGAATTTTAATAGGAATAAATGTAAGATCATGCAGTTGGGTCCAGAAAACCTATGGTTTATAGGTTTATAGGCTTAGATGTGAAATGTGAAAATGACCTGCATGGTTTCAATATGGAGATATTATCCTACAGTAATAGAAGTTATATGTAGAATGTGATCTGTAATTACCTTACCTATAGAATTATGCTGATAACTGGGCACCCAAGCTTTAAACTAAAAGGTCTTCAGAGGAATATGGCCATAACTGCAAAAAGATTCAAAAGTGCCCTATTAGTGCTAGGCTGTAACTACCTACAAGTATTTTAAGCGTTCACATATGAAAAAGCTGGATTTCTTACTTGGCAAGACATAAAGTAGTAGAATTGGGACCACTGGGTAATCACTACAAGAAAGCGTAAAGATAGTAGGACTTTTCACAATGCCTTAGCATCTGATACATTCTCTATCAGTAGAAGTATTCAGGCATAAGCCAAATTCAGTAGAAATGTGCTTGTAAAGGTTGAAGCATCAAGTGGGTAGCTTGATGAGTTTAAAGCCCCCTTTCATCCTGATGTGACAACCGTGTAAAAGAGTTGACGCACTCATTAAATTACCATGCAAAAGAAATGGTGAACACAAGCTAATTTTGAGGATATTATTTAAAAGATTTCTGTAGTTCGCTTTCCCTGTGTTTTTTTAGGGGTGTGTGTGTGTGTGTGTGTGTGTGTGTGTGTGTGTGTGTGTGTGACAGTAGAGAGACAGAGAATCTACTGAAGTTATTTTGAGTATAGAGTGCCTATGTTGCCTATGTGTTTAAACTCATATATTTTGGGAATATCGTATATATTTTGTATATAGTGAAGCTTAAGGAAAAATATTTTATTCTTCAGAGGTTAAATTTTTAATATTCAAATATGTGATTCTGGCTTCCTTTGTCACTTCCTATGTTTTAATCTTTATGCGGAATGTGATTTCCCTGAATCATGCTTAAGTAAAGCCTCTGGCATGCCTATACATAATTTTCTAGTCAGGTATAATTTGTCTCATCTTTTTCATTTATGTTAGAAGTTTTTATTTATCAAATGCCACATTTTTATGATTAAACAACCTGTGTTATAAAGAGAAATGTATGGAAACGGTGTGCCATTTTTCAAACGAGTGAAAATGGCTTTTTACTCAAAGACTTTTCTTTTCTACAAAGGAAAGGACTTTTCTCAGGCAAATAAAAGACTCATGTATGTCCCAATTCAAGCTCAACAATTTGATAAGTAACAAATACCCAGTTTTCATGAACATGAACAGTTATTATGTCGTATTCTGTTGCTTTGAATCCCTGCATGTACTCCTAAGATTCTTTCTTCCAAAAAGTAGAAATTTTAAAATTCAGTGTTTGTAGTAGAATAAATTGAATACACTGTTACATTCGTGGGCTACTACATAGAATACTATATTGGGATCTAAAATGTAAGGTTGCAATTCAAAATTAATTTTAATAGTGAACTTTTTTCAGTTATGGTTTGTTTTATTTAAAAAAATATATTCTATGCAAGGTACAGTGGCTCACACTTGTAATCCAGGCACTTTGGGAGGCCAAGGTGAGAGGATTACTTGAGCCCAGGAGTTTCAGACCAGCCTGGGCAACATAGTGAAACCTCATCTCTACAAAAAATGTAATAATTATTACATATAAGAATATATATTATGTACATATATTATGTATTTTAAAAGAATTTTCATTGCAAGTATTTTTAAATTAATATTGTTTGAAATTATGTTTTCAATCCCAACTTCTCTGGTAATGGTAGGATTTTTGTCCTCATTTTGTATTAGTACAAGGCCAAAATAAGAAGGCATGGGAAATCAGATAAGCAGAGTAAGTGATTTTTATGTCATATTGGGCTAGTTTAAAGCTTGATAAAGAAATCAGCTGTCCTAAATTTCCTTTCAGTGCTTTTTTTCATATTTCTATATACTTTTATCTTTATATTTTAATCTGCTACTAGGCCAGAGTGCAGTGGCATGATCTCGGCTCACTGCAGCCTCCACCTCCCAGAGTTCAAGCAGTTCTCATGCTTCAGCCTACTGAGTCGCTGGGACTACAGGTGTGTGCCACCACACCTGGCTAATTTTTGTATTTTTAGTAGGTATGGGGTTTCGCCATGTTGGCCAGGCTGGCCTCAAACTCCTGACCTCAAGTGATCAGAAAAAACACAGCAATCTTTGAAGCGAAAAATATGGCAACAGAATAAGATGGTAGAAACTAATGAGAGAAACTATATATGAAAATGATAGTATAGAAATAAAAAGGAATGGAAGAGAAATAGTATTTAGGGTCAGGGGAGTTCCAGAAAACCATGTTGGTAATTTGAGGCTGGAGGTTTCTAGAGCAGAAAAAAGAATAAAGTGATGAAAACAGTTAGAGAAAAAGTAATTGACAGGGAGGACAGACAGTATATATTCATCTTCAGTGTGCCAAGGGAAGAAAACAAAATGGACCAGGAAAAAAAACATTTAGAGATTCAATAGAAGAAAACATTTTCTGAAATAAGGAATCTGCAATTTAGAAGAACTCATCACATTCTGGGTAGTGGGAAGAGGATGGGAAACAGCAATGTTGTAAATCTAAGTGAAGTTACAGAACATGAATGTTAAAGGAATAGAATTAGAAGTATCTGCGCAAAATAAGTAAGTCATTTACTAAGGAAAAAATAAATCTAAGCTGCATGCAGTGGCATGCCTATAGACCCAGGTACTTGGGAGGCTGAGGCAAGAGAATCGCTAAAGTCCAGGAGTTGAGGACCAGCCTAGGTGACATAGTGGGATGCCCATCTCAAATAAATAAATTAATTAATTTGGTTGAGCTCAAGGTTTTCTTCCATAATAATACTTTATTTATTTAGCAATATTTATTAACCACCAAGCACCATTTTCAGGCACTGTGATTAAGGGTTTGACAAGATGAAAGGCTCTCTGTCTTAATGGAACTTGTATTTCTGTGATGTAAATCAGAAAATATACAAATAACAATAATTTTTAGAGAGTAGCAGTTATTTGAAATATATGAAATTGAGTATGATTCAGGGAGGTTTGCAGTCTGAAAGATGAGAAGGAATCAGTCATGTGAGGTCCCATGAAACATATTACCTATAAGGCCTTCCTGAAAAACCTACTGGAAATTGTAACTTCACCAAAGAAGGAAAGAATCAAAGAACTCATGGACTGAGATGTCAGGGTAAAGAAGAACTGGAAGTGAACGTTTAGTGTAAAATGTAATCTTAATGACCTTTGTCATTTTGGTTACAAAAGATTGTAATCATAATTGTTAACAAGAAATTATAACATAAAAATAATAGAAGTAGAGGCGAAATAGCAGAAACTTGCAACTAAAATTAGGGAATTGATGGTAAGAGAAATAGTGTTTGTACATATATAATGTTCTCAGATTTCATGAAAGAATCAATAGTTTTATGAAGAAATACATGTTTTAATATATAATTTAAAACTATAAATGGAACAGACTATATATTTTGCATACTACCAGAGGGAGGAAAAAGATCAATCACAGGCTATATAACAAAGGACAGACAGCAAAGCAAACACCAAAGAAGTAAAAAAACAGAGACCATAAATTAAGATGGAAGAAGGCTACACCCATCTTTTCTAATAGCAATTGTAAATGTGACAAACACACCATGTATATAGGAAAAGAAATACAGTTTGGATTAAAAAATAAAATTTTTTCCACATTAATAAGTGACTCAGGGCCAGGGCGCGGTGGCTCACGCCTGTAATCCCAGCACTTTGGGAGGCCAAGGTGGGCGGATCACGAGGTCAGGAGATTGAGACCATCCTGGCTAACACGGTGAAACCCCATCTCTACTAAAAATGAAAAAAAAAAAAAATTATCCAGGCGTGGTGGTGGGCACCTGTAGTCCTAGCTGCTGAGGAGGCTGAGGCAGGAGAATGGCGTGAACCCAGGAAGCGGAGCTTGCAATGAGCAGAGATCTCGCCAATGCACTCCAGCCTGGGCGACAGAGTGAGACTCCGTCTCAAAAAAAAAAAAAAAAAAGGGACTGAGGATTTTTAAAGATGGAAAAAAGACAAAGTAATACAGAATTAAAACTATTCTGCAATAATTTATTAAGGATTGTCTTAAAATAATTCAGAACCTTGAGAATCCCTCTGTAATGACACTATGTACACAATAAAGATATACTCAAAAATCTTTACGTGTGAGATTTCCAAGAGGGAAAGTGCTTATTTTCCCATTCTGGGTTCCATGCCCAGCCTAGGCAGCTCAACTGTTGCCAGAGGCAATGATCACATTTTAAAAACATGGTTTAGGGGTATGTATACTGTCTAGATAAAGTTCTAAATAAAAAGCATGCTGAACAGATAATTCAGTTAATTGCTTATTATGGTTCCTGCTTCAAAACACATTTGATGAAGCAAGGAAACTAAACTCAGAAAATATAAACAAGTTGGAATCATGTTGTTAATTCATAAGCACTTATTAACTAAATCCTGCTTAAGGCCACATTAAAGTTACAATTACGGATATATATTTAAGTGTGTGACTCATAAATTAGCTTAAAAATCAGGTTCATTCATCTTACAGACCTTGCTTGAGAGTGAGGAGGATGGGGTGTTCCATGGTCTTTTCTAAGTCTAGCCAGCTGCCTCCCAAATGTGTAATTCGGGGTTACACGTTGAGAGAGTAGACTGAATCAATACAAATATGTAAGTGTTACTAGAAAAAGAACTCAAGTACATGTTCTTCCGATTATTCATCAATAGCATCAAAAGGAAATGATGTGGATGAAGGAAACATTATATGTGTGCACATTTTTTAGGATGTTTCTTAGAAATCTAGCGTCATAGTTGGTCATTATGCTTGTGAACTGAAAACCAGAGAAAGTAAGAGTGAGTTGTGTGTGTGCGCATGTGCGTGCATGTGTGTGTGTTCATACAGCTTTCTTTATAGGCTGCTGCTCTGTTGCCATAGGGGGAACTTTTTATAGATTTACATTTGGTAAATATACCCACATCCAAAAAAAGACGTATGAAAAATTGGGATGCCAGCTAACTAAATCAACTCATAAAAACTAAAGTTAAGGGTAAGATTATTTTCCACGATTATTTTAAAATATGATGTTTACTGGAAGGAAAGTCCAGAGAATTACCACAGATGAAGTGTGAGTGTATTTCTCCCACTTGTAAATGAGCTCTTATTTCCTACAGTGTATATTCTGGTCCACAATGAGTCATTTTCAACATGTTTCAGTTTAACTTCTAATACATTTTTAAACTTGGCAGGCAAATTTAGATGAACATTACTTCCAGTTTTAGAGACTGCTTCTAAATTATACTTCAGTGGTGTAGTCATCATGAAAAGTTCTTTCAGTAAAAGGAAACAGGATTGATTGGAAATGTATGTTTTGGAGGAGCAAAAAAATGGTTACCATTTTTAAATTTTGTTACTACATAAACCCTGTTAACATTATCTTAAAAAGTTGTAGATGTGAGGTCCTTTTATGGATAGAAGATACTTTAGAGAAGAGAATATATGATGTATCCTAGATAATAATAAAGTTAATATTTATTAAACTTTTACTATGCCTAGCATTGTTTAACTGTTCTATACGTATTAGCTATTTTAATGCCTGCATAATAGGCAGTAGTATGTTTTCTGTAAGCCATTCAGGCCGTGTTTCTATTAGAAAACATGAAGCCCGGCACAGTTCTGGCCGTTTGACTAAAACTTTATGTTTGTAAAAACTAGCAATTTATATAGAGAATTTTACATAGTTGCCAGCTCTGAATAAGTATTTAATAATTACCTTGTATAAATTTATGCAATCCTGTGAATCTTCTGGCAAATTTCAGTGGCCAATCTATCTACTGTTATCTTTTAAATATGCTTGATTTTTGTTACTATAATTTTTACACTGTGTCTTATTATTTTTAACACTTTAAAAGTTCATAAAAATTTAGTTTGAAAAATGCTTCAAGATGATTGCAAGCATTGCATTCATTTTGCAAATGAGGAAACAAGTCTAAAGAAGTAATATGGCTTGTCCTCAGTTACACTGTTACTAGAAACGGAGCCATAATTACACATCTGTTCTCTTTGTTCCCATCCCAGTTGTTCTTTCTGCCACACCAGTATGTTATACTTAGTAAACAGTATATGAAGCATAATATGTGTGAAGTTGAACATCAGTAGGTATATTTTTGTTCTCAAATATACACATCAAAAACAACACAATTTAAAACTATACTGTATTAATTTCATAGGGTTGCAATGATAAATTGCCAAAACTTGGTGGCAAAACAACAGAAATTTATTCTCCATTCTAGAGGCCAGAACTCTGAAACTAAGATGTTGACATGGCTTTACTGTCTCCTAAGGCTCTAGGGGTAATCCTTTGCTTGCTTCTTCCAGCTTCTGGGGGCCTCCAGGCATTCCTTGGCTTCCTTGGCTTGTAACCGTATCACTCTAGTCTCTGCCTCTGTCTTCATGTGGCTTTCTCCTTTGTGTGCCTCTTATATGGATATATCTGATTGCATGTACGGCACACTCAGATAATTCAGGACAGGTCTCTCATCTCAAGATGCTTAACTTAATCACATCTACAAAGACTCTTTTTCCAAATAAGGTAATAGTCACAGCTTTTGGGAGTTAGGACATGGACTTCTCTTTTTTGGCAGGGTTGGGGGCACCATTCAACCTACCACATATACCTTTTAATTCATGTGAATTATATTTACTTGAGTTCTTCAATAAAGGTAACATTTTATTTTGAAATGATTTAACTAAAATTTTCTAATTTTAGGAGTTACTGAAATTCTATGATATTTCTATGGACTATCTTTCAACCTACTAGCTGTTGAACAAAATCATACCTTAGAGATTCTAGAATCTGCCATTTGATCTATGACATACATTTATTATGACTTAAAAGTCTTCCTGTGTGACTTTTAATAACATTCTTTAAGAACATCATGACAGTGACATTAAGATTAAAGAAACAGTAGTTATACATTTTTAACAGATACAGTATAAAAACCTAGCTTTAGACAAGCTATGTTAGCTTCATTTAGGCCATTTAATTGCTAGCAATTAAATTTTGCTCTACTGTGTTTGAGATCCTTTAGATTTGGGATGCTCTTATAATGACTATTTCATGTTTTATTTTCGTTCCTTATTTTTTTCATTCAAGTGATTCCTGATTTTAATAAATGTTTATGCATAATGTGTATCTTTGTATTATATATCCCAGATGTATGATCACTTAGTTTCTGCTTCTGTAGAAATTATTGCTAGATGTGAAGATATGCTGAATTCATTTTAGCCATTGAAAGTATATTACTGTAAATGAAAGGAAAAACAACCAATATATAAGTCTGTGCTTCATACAGTTATTGATATGGTTTGGGTCTGTGTCCCCACCCAAATCTCACCTTGTAGCTCCCATAATTCTTATGTGTTGTGGGAGGGACCAGGTGGAAGATAATTGAATCACGGGGGCAGATCTTTCCCATGCTGTTCTTGTGATAGTAAATAAGTCTAACAAGATCTGGTGGTTTTAAAAATGGGAGCTTCCCTGCACAAGCTCTCTCTCTTTGTCTGCCACCATCCACAAAAGATGTGACTTGCTCCTCCTTGCCTTCACAAGGAGGCCTCCTCAGCCATGTGGAACTGTAAGTCCATTAAACCTCTTTTTTTGTAAATTATCCAGTCTCAGGTATGTCTTTATCAGCCACATGAAAATGGACTAATACAGTTATTAATAGAATTAAATGAAATTCTTTATTTAAAGTACTCAAAAAATATTAACTATTATTATTACCATCATCTAGTTAGTTGATTTTTAAAGTAAGATGTGTCTATGTTCTCTTTTCAGCACCATAAAGGTAGAGCAGTCTCTGACTAGATCTGGTAAAAAAATATTTTATGCAGATGAGTAAACTTCACTATTACAATGAGCTCTCTAAAGAAAGAGTCCCCTTTCCTCAACTTACTGTATATTCTAATTGTTAGCAACTCATTCAATTGGGATTTTTCTTGCATCTTTTTGTAAATTATAAAGAAGATCCATGTGTTTTAAAATTGATGTGCTTTTTAAAACTCCAAGGTAGTGTGTTTTCATTTTACAAATGGAAAGTGTCGGTATTTTTTGTAAAAAGTAGAAAATTAGTTTATGCGTCTTCAAATAGCAAAGCTTAATTAGACAGTCGCATATCTATCATTAAAATTCAAATGTTTTAATTCACTTGGACCCCAAATGTGAATTTCTCTTGGCTAGATTATTCATAGATTCTCTGCATGTAATGATGCCTATGGTTTCTAAAATTCTTTTTGTCTAAAATCATGAAGATGGCAGATGCACAAAATAATAACATCTCTGGGCTGTGTGTGGTGGTTCACACCTGTAATCCCAACACTTTAGGAGGCTGAGGCAGGAGGATTACTGGAGGCCAGGAGTTCAGGAACAGCCTGGCAACAAAGTGAGACCCCATCTCTGCACACATACAAAAAAATTAACCACGCAGAGTGGGCATGTGCCTATAATCTCAGCTCCTCAGGAGGCTGAGGTTGAAGGATCCCTTGAGCCTTGGACTTTAAGGCTGCACTGAGCTAAGATGGTGCCACTATGCCCCTGCCTGAGCAACAGAATAAAACCCTGTCTCTTTATTAAAAAAGAAAAAAAAAAAAAAGACTATTTCTCCTTGCCTTCAGGCAAGAATGCACCCAGATCATCCTAGTCTGATAGGCTATCCATATGCAAACCTGTAAAGGAACTCACATACCTGTAAAGGTACTCACGTACCTGTAAATGACAATGAAATGTTAGCTTCAAAATAGTTTATATAAGTAGTTTACAGGAAAGTCAAGGTATGATAAATAACCTGTCATTTATAAGAATGGAATGTTCTGTATGTTGGTGTAACAAAACATGTCTATTCTTTTGTGTCATGTTTTGCCATTGGTTAAGCCATACATTTGATTAAGAAGTAAGTCAGCAGATACTTCAACTTGGTATCCAGTATAACCAATATCACCTCTTCATTATAGAAACAACCTCTTCCATGGCTGGGTGCAGTGATTCATTCCTGTAATCCCTACACTTTGGGAGGCCATGGTGGGAGGATCACTAGAGGCTACGAGTTTGAAACCAGGCTGGGCAACATAGTGAGACCCCAGCTCTCCCAAAAAGTAAAAAAAAAAAAAAAAAAAAAAAGATGAAACTACTTCTTCCCCATTATTGTCTGTACCCTAACTAAATATTAAGCATTCCACTTGAGATACCATCTCACACCAGTTAGAATGGCAATCATTAAAAAGTCAGGAAACAACAGGTGCTGGAGAGGATGTGGAGAAATAGGAACACTTTTACACTGTTGGTGGGACTGTAAACTAGTTCAACCATTGTGGAAGTCAGTGTGGCGATTCCTCAGGGATCTAGAAGTAGAAATACCATTTGACCCAGCCATCCCATTACTGGGTATATACCCAAAGGACTATAATTCATGCTGCTATAAAGACACATGCACACGTATGTTTATCACGGCATTATTCACAATAGCAAAGACTTGGAACCAACCCAAATGTCCAACAATGGTAGACTGGATTGAGAAAGTGTGGCACGTGTACACCATGGGATACTATGCAGCCATAAAAAATGATGAGTTCATGTCCTTTGTAGGGACATGGATGAAATTGGAAATCATCATTCTCAGTAAACTATTGCAAGGACAAAAAACCAAGCACTGCATGTTCTCACTCATGGATGGGAATTGAACAATGAGAGCACATGGACACAGGAAGGGGAACATCACACTCTGGGGACTGTTGTGGGGTGGGGGGAGGGGGAAGGGATAGCATTAGGAGATATACGTAATGCTAAATGACGAGTTAATGGGTGCAGCACACCAGCATGGCACATATATACATGTGTAACTAACCTGCACATTGTGCACATGTACCCTAAAACTTAAAGTATAATAATAATAATAAAAAATAAATAATAAAAAAATAAAAAATAAAGCATTCCACTTATAAGAAAGTTATTAGCTCTGATCGCCTCTCTTTATTCTTATGTATGAGTTTTCATTCCACAAGTTTTAGACACTGTTTATAAAGTATAAGGTATACCAAGGCATAGCTAAAGGTTGTGGCTACTTAACCCCCCACCTCCACACACACACACATATATATATATCTTTAATGATAGAGACCACTAGAGCAGTATTGACTTAAATGGCTCAAATATTTCATGAGTTTTCAATAAAAAAGACTAGCAATAGTAATTCTTTTGAGTTTATTTAGGTAGAATTATGAAAAAGTTATCTTTTTTCTTTTTATTAATTTTGTTTGTAAAAATTATAATTTAATTGTATAAGCACTTTTATGAATTTTTAATTGCAGATACCATCTGATAAATGTTATAAATTTGTTCCCACATAATTGTACATGACATACAATTCCATATAGCTAAACTCATTTTCCATTACCATTTTATAATAGAACCTAATGGAAATTAATTACCATGACTGCCTTTTTCCTGTGAGAATTAAGTCTCCATAGCCCATTCTATGAACTGTTCTCTGCCTTCCTTAATTCTTTAATGTATAGATGAACCTAACATTCCCTTCCTGTCGATTTCAAATGTTTAATGTTGCTTGCCTTGTTTCCTTTTATTTTAAATGAGAGCCAACATTATGAACTCAGCACTTTACTGAGTACATCAAAAGGCAAAAGAGAAACGTATCTCTCCCCATGGTTTCAGATGAGAATCTGGAGAAAAATATGTACGTGTGCTCAGATTTCTCTTTGTTGGAGTATGGACTATGGAAAGAGAAATAAAATGCCAAAGTATCTCTCTAAACTTTCCTATGGTGGGCTAGAAATTGTTCAAGTCAATATTTATTGAACCTTTGTGCATGACACACTGTAGAGAATTTTAAAAATTAAAACAATTTCAGTTTTGAAAGAGCTGAAATACATATATACATATTTATATTTTAAAGCAAAATTTTATATATGTTAAGAAGTCTGTTGTAGGCTGTGAATGTCCCTATCTGTTTTGGAAATGGCCTTTTAGAAGAGGTGGTACATGAAACAAGCATTTGAAGTGTGAAATTTGACATGCAGATATAAGAGAAGACTATTCCAAAAATTTTGTAAACCTAAATATAGAAGAAACAAAAGAATTTTCAAAAAAAAAAAAAACAGATAATTCATTCACCTGATTCAGAGTGTACAAGTAGATAGGAGATAAGGATAGACAGTTTCATTTTTTGGTAGAATGTCAGAATAAAGAGCTTTTATTTACTTCAGTGTGCAGTGAGGGCTGACATGATGAGATTTACATTTTAGAGAATTAGCTTGGCAGTAATATATGTATATATATTTATGGTAATTCAAGATGCCCTGAATAGGAGTTCCTGAAGTCCAGATGATTGGTAACTATGGCCTGAATTGGATGGTGGCATAGATAATAAAGATGGGAAAATTGGTTTTAGAAATACAACTTGGACGTGATGGGTGGTAGAGATTTTTCCACCTGTTCTCTATTGCCATCCTCCATCCCTCACAAAGAAAAAAATTTTTAATGCATTTAGATCATATTCCAAAATATAGTTTGGGCCATGTTTCTAGTCAAGTGGTGTCTGTCTGTCTGTCTCTCTGTCTCTCTTTCTCTCTCTCTTTTGAGATGGAGTCTTGCTCTGTCGCCCAGGCTGGAGTGCAATGGCGCAATCTTGGCTCACTGCAACCTCCACCTCCCGGGTTCGAGCAATTCTCCTGCCTCAGCCTCCTGAGTAGCTGGGATTACAGGTGCCCACCACCTCACTTGGCTAATTTTTGTATTTTTAGTAGAGATAGGGTTTCCCCATGTTGGCCAGGCTGGTCTTGAACTCCTGACCTTGTGATCCACCTGCCTCGGCCTCCTAAAGTGCTGAGATTACAGACGTGAGCCTCCGCGACCAGCCTCAAGTGATCTTTCTCTAAAAGATTGCAGTCATGATTAGAGCTTCCCCTTCCACATCATCTTTTCCTAGCTCTGGAAAAATAGGTTGGAGCTCACTTGCACCACTTGTCAGTCTTCTGCCATATATACATGCTAATATCCTCTCTTAAACCTTATCAGAGTTCTACGCAAGAACTCTTAGTTGGAGTTTTTACTGCAAGCCCAACTAATAACATAGTCATAATTTTATTTCCTGTTAGCTACTAGCCCCTTTTTCAGAAGCCTCATGGTAAGGGAATGCTTATTTTAATAAAGCATTTAGACATTTTTTGAATTCACCCTAATATCATTTAATAGCACCCAGTCCCTGTATCACCACTAACAGATGGATCCTCTTACAATAGAGGCAATATAAGTTACGTTTAAGAGTACAGTTTCTGGAGGGTAAATAGCCTAGGAGGTTATGATACTGGCTCTATTGTTCCTGGGTGCATGACTTCAGGGAAGTTACTTAACCTCTATGTCTCAGTTTCCTCATGTATAAAATATAATAATAGTAACTTATAGAATTGTGAGGATTAAATGAGTGTTAGAGATAGTGTTTGTTACATAATGTGTTAAATATTAGCTATTGTGATTATTACGGGATTCAGTAACTGACAATAATTGAAAGTATCTTGGAGAGTTATCAATGATTCCTGCAGAATTTTCTGGGTAGTTTGAGATGATAGTGATTTCATTATCAGAAATAGGACTTTGAGAAAACAGAAGTGATTCATGTGTTAATGAAGGCTATAATTTTGATTTAGGAATTGTACTTGAAATGCTAAAGCACCATTTAGGTATAGAAATAGAGTTGACATATAAGAATAAGGATCTCGAACCTGGGAGAAAGAACAAGCCTATACATAAAGATTTGGGATATATCAAGAATGCTGAAACCTGTAGTAAGTGCCCTGAAATTTGGGAAGAGATTTAATAATTGCTGTGGAGTAATATTGTGCTAAATGTTTTAGGAGTTTTGTTTAATTAATTTTATTCTCAGTTTTTATTTCTCATAATTGCTTTGTATGAGGAAATTAAGGCTCCAGGAGGTTTTCTGAAAATGCCATGGCTAGAATTTACAAATAAATTACAAAAACTTTAAGTAACTTTAGCAAGATTATAGGATACAAGTTACTATGAAAAAATTTAATTGTATTTCTGTATGTTAGCGCTATACATTTAAAACTTGGAAATTTTCTAAAATAAACCTTTACAACAGCAGAAAAACATCAAATACTTAGGGATAAAATTAACAAAATATGAAGCAAGTACAGGACCTGTACACTGAAAACTAGTAAATATTGCTGAGGAAAAACAAAAACCTAAATAAGTGGAGTAAGATATCATGTTCATAGATTTGAACACTTAATTTTGCTGTAGTGTCAAATTTTCCCAAACCGACTTACAGAGTCAGTGCAATTCTGATCAAAAACTCAGCAGACTTTTTTTGTAGTCTAATCAGCTAACCTAAAATTTACATGGAAATCGAAAGGACCAGAACATCCAAAACAATTTTGAAAAAGGGAGATGAAGGTGCCTAGATAGTTCAGTGAGGAAATGATAATCTTTTCAACAAATCTTGCTAAACCATTTAGATACCATATACAAAAAAGTGCACCTCCACCCCTACTTCATACATACAAAAATTAATTTGTAATTCATACATCTAAATGTAAGATCAAAAACTAGAAAAAAAGGGAAAACCTTAGAAACCTTGAGTTATCAAAGGTTGCATAAATAGGACATAAAGAACGTGAACCATTAAGAAAAACTTGTTTTCTTTTTTTTTGAGCTGGAGTTTTGCTCTTGTTGCCCAGGCTGGAGTGCTGCAGTGGGCACGATCTCTGCTCACTGCAACCTCCACCTCCCCAGTTCAAGTGATTCTCCTGCCTCAGCCTCCCAAGTAGCTGGGATTTCAGGCATGCGTCGCCACGCCCGGCTAATTTTGTATTTTTAGTAGAGGCGAGGTTTCACCATGTTGGTCAGGCTGGTCTGACCTCAGGCACTCCACCCACCTTAGCCTCCCAAAGTGCTGGGATTACAGGCATGAGCCACCACACCTGGCCTAAGAAAAACTTGATATTCCAACTTGGCTGGTAGTTGGGGGACAAAAAGAAAAACTCGTTAAATTGGACTTTACTCAAAATAAAAAAAAAAATTGCTCTTCTGTTAATAAAGGAGAAAGACAAGCCATAGTCTTGAGGAAAATATTTGAAAACCACATATCTAATAAAGGGCTTACATCCAGAACTCTTGCAACTTAAGAAGACAAGCTACTCAATTTAACATTTTTTAAAATGGCCAAAGGATTTGAACAGCCACTTCATGAAAGTAGAAATACAGATGACCAATAAGCACAAGAAAAGATGCTAAACATTATTAATCACCAGGAAAATGGAAATTATACCAAAATTCATTACCACTACAACCACTAGAATGGCTAGATTTTAAAACACGGATATTACCAAGTGTTGGTAAGGTTGTCAGTTAACTCAAATGTCCACACAGTGCTTATGTGAATGCAGAATCACAGTCACTTTGTGTGACTGTGTCAAACAGTTTGACAGTTTTTAAGAAGGTTAAACATAAACTTAGTATAAGACCCAGCATTCCTATTTCTAGTTATTTACTCAAGAGAAATGAAAAACCTATATACATATAAAGACTTCTGTGTAAATGTTTATAGCTGCTATATTTCTAATGTCCCCAAGCTGAAACAACTAGTGCATCAAACTAAATTTGAGTTTACACATGCCATGGAATACTACATAGCAATAAAAAAGGAGGAAACTACTTATATGTGGAAAATATTTTTATTATAAAAGTTCTATGTTGAAAGAAGACAAACACAAAAGACTACATAGTGTTTGATTCCATTTATGTGACATAATAGAAAAGGCAAAACTAATGACACAAATCCAATCAATAGTTGCCAAGAGCCAGGGGTGGAATGAGAGAACTGACTGAAAAGCAGCAGCACAGAGAGTTTTTGGGAGTGATGGGAATGATGTTAAGATCATAGTCACAGTTGCATGGCCAAAACAGTTGTTGAAACTTATGAACTTGCACACTTAAAATTAGTTAATTTTGTAGGTAAATTATGCTCCAATAAAACTGGTTTTTTAAATGGCTTAAGTGGCTGTTTATTTTTTAGAGCAGTTTTGGGTTCACTGCAAAATTGAAAGGAGGTACAGATTGCTCATATAACCCCTACCCCTACACATGTATAGCCTACCCCATTATGAACATCCCCACCAGAGTGCTACATTTGTTACAATTGATGAATCTACACTGACAAATCATTATCACCCAAACTCTATAGTTTTCATTAGGGTTCACTCTTGGTCCGGCTACTTTTTAATACTTTCATTTCTGGTCCAAGTTCACTCTTAAGGGTTGTACATTCTGTATGTTTGGACAAATCTGTAATGTATATATCTATCAATGTAGTATCATTCAGAATAGTTTCATTACTATATTATTTTACTGTCTCCATGGTTTTATCTTTTTCAAAATGTCATAATCATACAGTTTGTAGTCTTTTCATACTGTCTTTTTTTACTTAGTAGTGTGCATTTAAGGTTTCTCCCTGTCTTTTCATGACTTCATAGCTCATATCTTTCAGTGCTGAATAGTATTCTATTGCTGAGGTGTATCACAGTTCATCTGTTCACCTACTGAAGGACATCTTGTTTGCTTCCAGGTTATGGCAGTTATGAATAAATCTGCTATAAACATCCTTGTGCAGTTGTTTGGGTAGATAAGTGTTTAATTCCTTTGGGCAAATATGCAAAGAGTGTGATCTTATGGTAAGAGTGCTTAGTTTTGTAAGAAACCACGAAATGTGTCAGTGTAGTGTGGGGGAAAAAAAAAAGAAGAAACCACCAAACTGTTTTCCAAAGTGGCTATATCGGTATGCATCTCCACCAGCAGTGAATGAGAATTCCTGTTACTCCATATCTTTGCCAGCATTTGGCATTGCCAGTGTTCTGGATTTGGGCCTTTCTAATACATGTATAGTGGTATCTCATTGTTGTTTTAACTTACATTTTCCTGATGACATATGATGCAGAGCATCTTTTCACGTGTTTATTGGCCATCACTGTATCTTCTTTGGTGATGTGGCTATTAAGGTCTTTAGCCCATTTTTTAATAGGGTTGTTTGTTATCTTGTTGAGTTTTAAAAGTTCTTTGTATATTTTGGATAACAACCCTTCGTGAGATAAGTATTTTGCAAGTATCTTCTCCCAGTCTGGGGTTTTTATTTTCCTTCTCTTGATGGTGTCTTTCACAGTGCAGAAACTTTTAACTTTAATGAAGTCCAGTTTATTCTTTTTTTCATGGATTATGTGTTTGTTGTTTTGTCTAAAAAGTCATGGCCCAGACCAAGGTTATCTAGATTGTCTTATGTGTTATCCTTAGGAGTTTTATAATTTTGCATTTTACATTTAGGTATATGATTTATTTTGAGTTAATTTTTGCAAAGGTGTAAGTCTGTGTTCAGATTCTTTTTTTTTTTTTTTTTTTGCATGTGAATGTCCTATTGCTCTAGCAACATATCTTGAAAAGACTATCTTTCCACCAGTATTCCCTTTGTCTTTTTGTCAAACATCAGTTGACTGTGCGGGTCTATTTCAGGGCTCTCTATTCTGTTCCACTGATCTATTTGTCCCTTCTTTTGCCAATACCACACTGTCCTGTTCCTGTAACTTTATAGTAAGTCTCAAAGTTGGATAGTGTCAGTCTGCTAGTTTTATTCTTCTCTTTCCATATAATATTGGCTATTCTGGGTCTTTTGCCTGTCTATATTAACTTTAGAATCCGTTTGTCTATATCCACAAAATAGATTGTTGGGATTTTGATTGGGATTACGTTGAATCTATAAATCAATCTTGCAAGAACTGACATCTTCACAATATTGCGTCTTCTTACCCATATATGTAGAGTATTTTTACATTATTCTTTGATTGTCTTATCGGAGTTTTTAGTTTTCCTCATATAGATCTTGTACATATTATTTTAGACTTATACCTAAATATTTCATTTTAAGGGGTGTTAATATAAATGTTACTGTGTTTTTAACTGGAAATTCCACTTGTTCCATGCAGATATACAGGAAAGTGATTGGCCTTTGTATATTGCCCTTGTATCCTGCAACATTGCTATAATCACTTACTAGTTCCAGTAGTTTTCAGCCAATTCTTTCAGATTTTCTACATAAACAGTCATATCATCTGCATACACAGTTTTATTTCTTCCTTCCCAATCTATATACTTTTTCTTTTCTTTTCTTATTGCAATTAGCATCAACTTCGAATATGATGTTGAAAAGTTCCTGATCTTAGTAGGACAACTTCAGGTTTCTTACCATTAAGATGTTACTTGTAGGATTTTTGTGTTATTTTTTATCAAGTTGAGGAACTTCCCGCTATTCCTAGTTTACTAAGAGTTTGTATCATCAGTAGATGTTAGATTTTGTGAAATGCTTTCTCTACATCTATTGACAGGATCATGTGGTTTTTTTCTTCCTCAGCTTGTTGATGTGATGGATCACATTAATTGATTTTCAAATTTTGAACCAGCCTTGCATAACTGGGATAAATCCCACTTGGTTGTGGTGTATAGTTCTTTTTATGCATGAATGGTTTCGATTTGTTAATAATTTGTTGAGGGTTTTTGCATCTATATTAATGAGAGATGTTGGTCTCTTGGTTTCTTTTCTTGTAATGTCGTTGTCTGGTTTTGGTATTTGAGTGATGCTGGCCTCATATAATAAATTAGAAAGTATTCCTTCTGCTTCTAGCCTCTGGTGGATACTGTAGAGAACTGGTATACTTTCTTCCTTAAGTAATTGGTAGAATTTACCAGTGAACCCATCTGGGCCTGTCCTTCTGCTTTGGAAGGTTTAAATTATTGATTAAATATTTTAAAACACATGTAGGCCTCTTCAGATTCTCTGTTTCTTCTTGTGTCAGTTTTAGCAGATTGTGTCTTTCAAGGAATTGGTCCATTTTGTCTAATTTATGAAGTTTGAGAGCACAGAGTTGTTCATAGTATTCTTTTGTTTAGTGTCCATGGGATCTGTAATAATGACCACTGTTTCATTTCTTTTTTTTCTTTTCTTTTCTTTTTTTTTTTTTGAGACAGAGTTTTGCTCTTGTTGTGCAGGCTGGAGTACAGTGGCACAATCTCAGCTCACCTCAACCTCCGCCTCTCTGGTTCAAGCAATTCTCCTGCCTCAGCCTCCCGAGTAGCTGGGATTACAGGCATGCACCACCACGCCTGGTTAATTTTGTATTTTTAGTAGAGATGGGGTTTCTCCATGTTGGTCAGGCTGGTCTTGAACTCCCAACCTCAGGTGATCCGCCCACCTCGGCCTCCCAAAGTGCTGGGATTACAGGTGTAAGTCACCATGCCCGGCCTTCATTTCTGCTATTAGTAATTTAGGTCCTCTCTTTTTCTTAGTGTAGCTAAAGTTTTACTGGTTTTATTGATTTTTTTTTTCAAAGAACCACTTTAGATTTCATTGGTTTTTATCTTGATTTTTGTGGTAATTATTTTCTTAGTGCTTACTTTGGATTTAATTTACTCTTTTTTTTCTAGTTTCCTAAGATAGAAGTTTAGATGATTGATTTTAGATCTTTCTTCTTTTCTAATATACGTATTTAATGCTGTGAATTTTCCAAGCACTTCTGCGTTCCACAAGTTGTATTTTTATTTAGTTTAAAATATTTTCTAATTTCTCTTGCATTTTCTTCTTTGATGTATGTGTCATTTAGAAGTGTATTGTTTAATATCCACATATTTTAGAATCTTCCAGTTATCTTTTTATTGTTGATTTCTAGTTTAATTACATTATGGTTTGAGAGTAGAGAGCATATGATTTTTATTCTTTTAACTTTGTTCATGTGTGTTTATAGCCTGGGATGCAGTCTGTCTTCTGCATATCTGTATTTCGTGTGAGCTTTAAAAGAATATGTATTCTGCTATTGTTGATAAATTGTGATTATAACCTGTTGATTGGTGGTGTTGAATTCTACTATGTCTTTAATGATTTTCTGCCTACTGGATATGTCCATTTCTAATACTAGCGTGTTGAAGTCTTCAACTATAGTAGTAGATTCATGTATTTCTTCTTGCAGTTCTATCGTGTATTTTGACATCTGTTCTTGGACATATAAATGTTAAGGATTATTATATCTACTTGGAAAATGGACCCCTTTATCATGTAGTGCCCCTCTTTATCCTTGATAACTTTTCTTGCTCTGAAGTCTGTTCTGTCTGAAATTAATGCAAGCTACTCCCAGTTTCTTTTGAGTAGTGTTATAATGGTATATTTTTCTCTATCTACTTTTAATCTGTATGTATCTTTATATTTAAAGTGCATTTCTTGTAGGCAGTATATAGTTGGGTGTGTTTTTAATCTATTAATTGGTGAATTTAGAGCATTTACATACAATGTGATTATTGATACACTGTAGGTAGATTTGCAGCTACCATATTTATTACTGTTTTCTATTTTTTCCCTCATTCTTTGTTTCTATTTTTCACTCTTTTTCTTTTTTGGTTTTAATTGGCATTATGTTGTTGGGCACATAAATGTTAGGAATTATATATTTTCTGGGAGGAAGAACTTCAAAAAGGAAAGTTTGCAAATGTAAGCTAAATGTGAGATTTCAGGAGGTTAAAGTGTTTTTAGTATCAGGAAGTCAAGGAGATCTACAATCCTCCCAACCAGAGAAGGAATGTTCTGAGTTAGGAGTGTAGGGAAAGAAAGAAAATTAGAATATAAGCAATTTTAAGGTAGAGAGGAGGGAATTGAAATAAACCCTTGTTGGATAGATCTTGACCTTAGTAAAAGGAAGTCATCAAATGACAATGGAGAGGGCTCCAAATGACCTGAGAGTCTTAATAAAAGAAGGCAGTTTTTAGAATGACAACTATAGAGAATACAATAATGTAATACCTTGGGAATAAAAGAATTCCAAGCAGCAATAAGAGCTAGGTCATGGACTTGGTCAGTATGGCATCCCTAATTTTCCACAGCTTCTCTTAATTCAAGTCAGAGGTCGACAAACTATGGCCGATAGGCCAAATCCAGCCTACCATCTGTTTTTGGACAGCCTGCAAGCTAAGATTGGTTTGTGTGGTTTTTTTTAATTATGAGGGGGAAATAAAAATAAAAATAAATATTTAATGACACATGAAAATTATATGAAATGTAGATGTTAGTGTATATAAAGTTTTATTGGAACACAAACTCATTTGTTTACATATTGTCTATGGCTGCTTTTATGCTACAACCGCACATTTGAGTTGTTGCAACAGAAACTTTTTGGCCCACAAAGCCTAAAATACTTACTCTTTGGTCCTTTACAAAACATGTCTGCATGCCAGCTTTCAGCAGCATCAGTTAAGCAGCAGTGATAATTGTCTGTCTGTTTCTTGGAGATCATTCACAAGCCTGAATAGATGGGTCACCATTTATCAATGCTTTCGAGATATCAGCATGCATATCTTTCCCATGCATCTCTTTAGCAGGGTAGGAAAATTATGACTTTGAACGGGTAACTCTGTTTCTTGGTAAGGATAAGATGTTACATTCCACTGAATGGAAGAAAAATCAAATTCTGTGCTTCCAAAATTCCAATATTTTAAAGTATTAGAACATCTCATGGTTTATAGAAAAACATGGAACATGACAAGACATCTTGGCCAGACTAAAAATTGGAACTCTGCAGCCAGGAAACATACAAAGTCACCTGTTATTTTTCTTATGACAAGCTTTAAAACAAAGTGCTTTGGCAAACTTGAATGTTTAACACATAGTGCTTACTGTACCAATACAGTTTTAAGCATTTTACCAATATTAACTCATTTAATTATCCTAATTACCTAATGAGATTATCACTGTTATGCTCATTTTATAATTATGAAAGCTGAGACACAGGTAGTAAAGAGTGGTATGGAGTTTGAACTGATGCAGTCTGGCTTCAGAACCCTTGCTTAATATAGTTACTTGTGAATATTTAACCCTCTGAATCTAAAATAAAATTTGAAACTATAAAAATAAATACTTAAAGTCACATTACATTGAAAAATACTTCAATCTCATGAAGCTTCAAGATTATTTGAGACCTTTTTTGTTCTAGATCCCTTATTATATATGTATGTATTCAACTTTTAGGTTCAGGGGATATATGTGCAGATTTGTTACTTAGCCCAGAAATTTGAGGCAGACTTGAATGCAGATTTCAGCTTTGCTACTTACTTGGGCAAGTTGTTAACTTCTCTGAGTCTCAGAATCTTTATCTCTAAAAAGAGAATAACTGCTTGCCCACTTTCACCACTGTTATTCAACATTGTACTAGAATTCCCAGCTAAAGCAACTAGACAAGGAAAAGAAATAAAGGGCAGTCAAATTGTTAAGGGAGTAGTCAAATTATCCTTGTTATTAGATGATAGGATTTTTTTTTTTTTTTTGAAAACAAAATGCTTCATGATTTTGTATGTCATCCGTGTGCAGGAACCATGCTAATTTTCTCTGTATCATTCCAATTTGAATATATGTGCTGCTGAAATGAGCACAATGATAGGATCTTCTATTTGGAAAACCTAAAGACTCCACCAAAAAACTATTAGAATTGATGGGCAAATTCAGTAAAGTTGCAGGATACAAAATCAGTGTACCAAAATCAGTAGCACTTCTATATGCCAACAATGAACAATCCGAAAAATAAATTAAGAAAGTATTCCCATTTACAATAGCTACAAATAAAATTAAATACCTAGGAATTAAACAAAGAAGTGGCCGGGTGCAGTGGCTCATGCCTGTAATCCCAGCACTTTGGGAGGCCAAGGCGGGTGGATCACGAGGTCAGGAGTTTGAGACCAGCCTGGCCAACATGGTGAAACCCCGTTTCTACTAAAAATACAAAAATTAGCCAGGCGTGGTGGTGTGCACCTGTAATCCTAGCTACTTGGGAGGCTGAGGCAGGAGAGTCACTTGAACCCATGAGGTGGAGGTTGCAGTGAGCCGAGCTAATGCCATTTCACTCCAGCGTCAGTGACAGAGCAAGACTCCATCTTGAAAAAAAAAAAAAAAAGTAAAAGATCTCTACAATGAAAACTATAAAACACTGATGCAAGAAATTGAGGAGAACATACAAAAGATGGAAAGATATATTCCATGTTCATGGATTGGAAGAATCAATGTTGTTAAAATGTCCATACTTACCCAGAGCAGTCTACAGATTCAATGCAATCCCTCTTAGTATACCAATGACATTCTTCACAAGAGTAGAAAAAAAAATCCTAAAATGTATATGGAACCACAATAGACCCAGAATAGCCAAAGCTATCCTACGCAAAAAGAGCAAAACTGAGGAATCACATTGCCTGACTTCAAAATATACTACAGTGCTATAGTAACCAAAACAGCATGGTACCAGCATAAAAACAGACACACAGACCAATGGAAAAAAAAAATAGAGAAATCAGAAACAAATCCATACATCTCCAGCAAACTTATTTTTGAGAAAGCTGCCAACAACATACATTGGGGAAAGGACAGTCTCTTCTATAGATTATACTGGGAAACTGCATGTCCATATGCAGAAGAATAAAATTAGACCCCTATCTCTTGCCATATACAAGGGTAAAATCAAAATGGGTTAAAGACTTAAATCTAAGACCTCAAACTATAAAACTACTAAAACATTGGAGAAACGCTCTAGGACATTGTTCTGAGCAAAGATTTCTTGAGTGATACCGCACAAGCACAGGCAGCCAAAGCAAAAATGGACAAATGGGATATCATCAAGTAGAAAACCTCCTGCATAGCAAAGGAAACAGTCAACAAAGTGAAGAGACAACCCACAAAATGGGAGAAAAGATTTGCGAACAATCCATCTGACAAGGAATTAATAACCAGAATATATAAAGAGTTCAAACAACTCAGTAGGAAAAAAATCTAATAATCCAATTTTTAAATGGGCAAAAGATCTGAATAGACATTTCTCAGAAGAAGGCATACGTATGGTAAACAGGGTTATGAAAAGGTGCTCAATATCACTGATCATCAGAGAAATGCAAATCAAAACTACAATGAGACATCGTCTCACCCCAGTTAAAAGGGCATTTATCCAAAAGACAAGCAATAACAAATGCTGATGAGGATGTGGAGTAAAGAGAACCCTCCTACACTGTTGGTGGGAATGTAACTTAGTACAACCACTATGGAGAACAGTTTGGAGGTTCCTCAAAAAACTAAAAGTAGATTTATGCTGGATCATATGGTAGCTTTATGCTTGATCAATGATTGCTGGATCATATGGTAGCTCTATTTTTAGTTTTTGTGTATATCCCAAAAGAAAGGAAATCAGTATATCAAAGAAATATCTGCACTTCCATACTTATTGCAGCACTGTTTACAGTAGCCAAGACTTGGGAGCAACCCAAGTGTCCATCAACAGATACCGGATAAAGAAAATGTGGTACATATACATAATGGAGTATTCTTCGGCCATAAAAAAGAATGAAATTCTGTCATTTGCAACAACATGAATGGAACTGGAGGTCATTATATTAAGTAAAATAAGCGAGGCACAATAAGACAAACTTTGCATGTTCTCACTTGTTTGTGGGAGCTAAAAATTAAAACAGCTGAACTCATAGAGATAGAAAGTAGAATGATGGTAACCAGAGACTGGGAAGGGTAGTTGGGAGAATGGGGCATGGGTAATGGGTACAAAAATAATAGGGAGGTTGAATAAGATTTATTTGGAAGCACAACATGGTGACTATAGTCAGTAAGAATTTAATTGTACATTTTTTTTAGACAGAGTCTCTCTCTGGCTTTATACTGGATCAGTGATTGCTGGATCAGATGGTAGCTCTAGCCCTGGCTGGAGTGTAGTGACATGATCTCTGCCCACTGCAAACCTCCGCCTCCCAGGTTCAAGTGATTGTCCTGCCTCAGCCTCCTGAGTAGCTGGGATCACAGGCATGTGCCACCACACCAGCTAATTTTTTCTATTCTTAGTAGAGAGGGGCTTTCACCATTTTGACCAGGCTGGCCTCAAACTCCTGACCTCAAATAATCCGCCCACCTCAGCCTCCCAAACTTCTGGAATTACAAGCGTGAGTCACCACGCCTGGCCTAATTGTACATTTTAAAATAACTAGACCAGGTGTGGTGGATCACATCTGTAATCCCAGCACTTTGGGAGGCTGGGGCGGGAGGATCACTTGAGGTCAGCCTGGCCAACATTGCAAAACCCCGTCTCTATTAAATATACAGATATATACGTACACACATACATACATACATGCATAAAATAACTAAAAGAGTATAATTGGATTGTTTGTAACACAAAAGATAAATCCTTGAAGTAATGGATACCTCATTTACCCTGATGGAATTATTACACATTGTATGCCTGTATCAAAATATCCCATATACGTACTACGTACCTATAAAAATTAAAGATTTTTTAAAAAGAATAATCCTAAATTTTGTATTAGCAGTTTGGAGATGATTAAATGAAAAAACTGTTTATACCTGTATATGACAGTAAATAAAAGCACTCAAATGTTAGACTCCTTTCCTTCGTATTGGTCTCTACACACCCTGATAGGCATCATGCCAATTCAAGTTTCCTCTTAGTATAATAAATGCCTTTAAAGTTCATCACTGGCTTTTTATTAATATCGCAAGCCTCTCACAACCCACTTAGTCATGGTTACAATGGAAAGTGAGATAAAAGGAATAAGTGACAGAGCAATAATAAAAGCACCAAATTTCAGCCAACCTAGAGAGGAAAAGCAACACTTTCTGCAAGGGGAGGACATAAGAAAAGTGTAGGGAGAAAAGCAAGGCCCAGGAAAATGTTTGAGAGAAGACATTTCTTCAAAATAATAATGTAAGATGTTAAAAATTAGAGTTTGTTTAATTAAATTAATACTGAGTTGCTTTGATTATATTAGGCTCTTTATTATTTCATTTTTATCCTGAAGTGTTGGAGATGGTTAAATAAATACCAAGGTATGTAGACATTTTCTGGAACTTTTAAACTTTCTCATTTTATAAACAGCTGTAGAAAATAAAAATATAATTATAACATAATATGTGTTTACTGAGTGCCTAACATAAGATTATATTTACTATCTATTTGTTTGAACATCCCAAGATAGAATTTAACAGAAATACTAACAAGTAATTATTTGGTCCATTAAGTCTAATGAGAGAAATAAGAGGTGGGGAAATAGTGATTTAGTTCTTATTATGTGATTTAGTTCTTATTATGTCTTCTATTTATGTCTTCTTTACTTCTGTTTTGTATGCCCTCATGATAAACTTTATTACATTCTTGTAGGTAGGCTAGTGAGTCACGCATAGATTCCTAAAATTGTGTATAAAATTTGTAATAATTTTAACTTGTTACAGAACTCAGATAGAGCCTGTCATATCACACTACTTTTGCTCCCTTTTTTGCATTTCTTTTTTGTAAGTATTTTTAGAATGTTGTCATGTCTCCTTCTACCACCTTAGCCATTATCCACACTGTATATTTTTTGGAAGTTTAATCTTTTTTGTAGTTTGGACATACCTAACCTATAATCATTTTGGCTTCTCTTTTCTTCACTCTCTGTAATTTGTTTTCATCTTTTACGGACACCTAAACCTGGAAACAATAATCTTAATTCACTGGTTTTTTCATACTTCAGAAGAGACTGCCCCTCATCAAATTAGTATTTAATATTTTAATGTTTTCTATCCTGGCTTGAACCTATTTAGCATTCTAATTTTATAACACCTAAAAACCTCATGGTTACTATGACTCCATTCATTCACTCAGTAAGCATTAAGAGTTAGTAATATTCTGGATATACCATTATCTCATTAAGAGCTTATAATATGCCAGAATATTTACTAGATCCTAGGAATCCAAAGATGGATTAGACAAGATTCCTGCACTGAAGTAACTTGTATTTTAATTGTACAGTGTGTTGTTGTGAGCATTTTACTTTTGTTAGCTCACATTATCATCCAGAACTCAACATGCCCAAGTTTTCCCCCAAGAATTTTGATTCAGAAAGTCTCAGGCAGAACCGTGGCATCTAGAGTTCTTAGAAGTTCCACAAGTGATTCTGATGGTCCTCCCTGGTTAGGCTAGGTAAAGTCAACCTCAGGAGTCATCCGCATCCTTAGAAAAGAAAAAAGTGTTGCTAATGATCCATCTTTACTACCAGACCATCTAGGCTTAAAGACCCATGACTCTGGTTGCTGTATTCAGGAGTTTTTTGGAGTATTCCTTAGCCCATTTCAGAACACTAATTTGGATAAATTAACATTTATAGGGCTTCCCTATTGTTAGGAAGCAGATCTAAATAAATGACTTTTACATCCCTTTTTGCCTTTTACAATATGTATGTTAACCATAGTAAATTCATTTCTTTTCTTGAGCTATATATTACTGAAAAATAGGACAAAAGCATGATTAGCCTCCATCGTGCTACTATTAATACTTTACACTATTCTTCATAAAAGCATCCCCCTAAAAGTGCTTTTTCTAATGACTTTTTAAGATTCAGTTTATATGTTCTGAATTTTTTTCTTTAGTGTAGATCAACACTGAGATATACGTTAAAAGCTGCATGAAATAGAGTTTTGAGTGCTATGAAGCACTAATATAATAAATACTCTTGGTTCGGAGGATAATTCAAGCTGAATTTTAAGGGTTTGTTGTCATGTTGACACAAAAGGGAAAACAGACCCAATCAGACCTAGTGTTATAAAGTTTTTATAACACTGTTATAAAAATTTTATAACAGTGTTATAAAATGTTTCACTCTAATTTTATCTCATACATGCTTTTATTTTATGGCAACATTCCTTTCCTTACATTTGTTTCAGTTAAGTACTCTTCACATACCTGTAGTACCTATTTTTTTGACTTTATAAGATGGCCAGATATTACTACATGTTGTTTATTTTATTAATGGCATTACATATTTTATTTGATCATGATATGATAGATGCATTGAATTACTCCAAATACATGCTTGAAATTCTTATAAATCCATGGTACAGTTGTCAAACATACTCAGCATTTTTAACTCAGCAAAAAAAGACCTCTCACATTCATTTAAGAATTAGCTTGTAAGCCAAAAATGACAGATGTAGTATTGCAGCTGAGAAGTGAACTGGTTGAAGAAATCATCTAAATGGCAGAAACGTTTGGAGAAATACCCAAACTTCTTTTAAATTCCTTTCTCACGTTCTTTAGTCATCATTGTTGCGACATTAATGTTGGCTTTAAAAGTTTTTCCTAGTTTGTTTCTTTACAATTTGGAAAATTTCACATTGAAAACACCTGAGTTAATAGAACTGTGTTACTCTATAGTTTTTCTTTTTTTTTTTTTTTCCAACTCACTGGAAATCTGTGGGCTCTATAATTTTATATGTACATTTTGAACTAATGTAATTGCTCCCCTAATTTTCATCAAAAATAATTTTGATTCAGTATCCAGGTATATATTTAAAATTTTTAAATATACAGATAACTAAAAAGCAAAAGAAAACAGTTGGTAGAACAATAGGTAGCAGTAATGCACAAAAGTAAAATCTCTAAGATAACATTTTGTATTTTAATAACATGAAAGGAAAGTAATTTCAGATATGTTCTCTGTAAGTTATGATATGGATATATATGTGTGTGAATATAGTTTACATAAAACTTGTATACTTTTTGTTTTCTTAAAGTAAAAAAATTAGAAGTTATAGATTGGGTATAATAGGGTAAGTGTGCTTATTTTTGTATTCTGAGATCTTTCAAATATTTTCAGGGTATAAAAAATAACTAACCAAAGACCTATACCATATACTAGCCACTGATGTAGTAATACTTCATCTCTGTTTAGCTAATAACACTTTGTTTTGAGAAGTAAAGGATATATCTAAGCCAAAATTATTTAAATGGAAAGTACTTAATTTTTTATTTTTAAATTTCTCATATAAAAATTTTTTGAGTTGCCTTCAGTAAAATTAATTTTTAAGTTGAACCATGTAATGTAAAAATGTAATTTTCTCCTCTCACCTCTCTTTTCCCAGATATCTTTACCTGTATGGGATATTATTTCTTATTTCTTCAGGATGTACACTTCCTTTCTTTTTATATAACTCAGTGTCCTTGTGTGATTTTAGATATATCCATGATTCACGTCTAAATATGTATATAATGAGTCAAGTTTTTATTTTTAAAAGAAACACATCAGAATATATGGACACAAATAAGAATACCCTCCACCAAGGTCAATACAGTAGAAGCCCGTATGCTTTTTCCGACCGTGTTGGTATTGCTCAATTCAGTTATTTTACAGCACAGTTCTTGGAATAACTTTTCATTTTAACAGTCTTCTTCCTTCAAAGAGAAGTTTTTGTTTTTGGAAATTCAACCATTCAGAGTAAAGCCCATTGAATTTGGTGGGTGAATAAACTAGGTATACTGTTTGTTGTGAACAATGGGTGAGAAATTGGGGAGAGGTTAACTATTTAACAATGAAAGAATTGTTGAGAATGGAAAATTATGAGGCCAATTGAAAATCTTATTTTTGAAGGAGGTTTAATAACATAAGAAGATTTTTAAGATAATATTGGGGGAAGGAGAGCAAATTTTATATGAAAGCATAATTCATATGTAATATGCATAGCAAACATTTATAGAGAATAATATCAAATATTGGTGAGGAGATGGAGAAACCATATTTCATACACTTAGAGTTGCATTTTAAATTGATGTAGCCATTTGAGAGGAAAAATGGCAGTATCAAAATTTAAAATCTTTTGACCCAACAATTTCACTTCATGGTATCTTTCTTAAATGTTTGCTTGTGCATGGGAGGCAATTCTTAGGATGATCTTTGAAGCACTGTGTATAATGCTTTGAAGCATTTTGAAACAATCTAAATGTTAATCCGTTTAGAATTAAATAAATTGGAATTAATTAAATGATTATGTCCACATTGTGGTCTATTATATAGCAAATGAAAAGAATGAGGTATAGACATGGAAAAAACGGATCCCAAGACAGTCTACATGAAAAAAGGAAGTTACAGAGAAGAATATGTGTGATATGCCATTTGTTTAAAAAAAAAAAACTGATATATCAATTCATATGTGATATACATACATGTTTAAAAAAAAACAAACCTCTTAGATACACAGAAAACTAGTCACAGTGATTATCTCTCAAAGGAGAAATGGAATTGAGAGTAGTGATAGAGGTCTGGGCTGGGTGCAGTGACCCACACCTGTAATCCCAGCACTTTGGAAGGCTGAGATAGGAGGATGGCTTGAGCCCAGGATTTCGACACCAGCCTGGGCGACATAGTGAGACCCTGTATCTACAAAAAATACAAAAAAAAAAGAAAAGAAGTCTGTAATATTTATTTGTAATGTTTGGAGTTTTTAGCCTCACAGTGGATTTGATAAATTATTTATAGAATTGAAAATAAATTTGAAAATATTTACTTGTGCAGAGAAGAAAATTTATGAAAATATAAACAGCTTATCCTTATAAGCAAGATTGAATTCTCAGTTGACTAGACACATCAGCTTCTGTCCTTGTCGACTCCAATTTCTTATAGCTGAATCTACCAAAGACTGAATGTATCTGGAGATTTAGGCCCATCTTTGTTTCACAGTTCTTTCAAGTGTAGAAAGTTTGTCAACCTCTGCCCCACTTGCTTGTGGAGTTTAAAACTAAACTTTCCTGCCCACACAAAAGACTTAGCAGTCTATCTCTGACTACCTACTTCTGTGTATTCTTCTAAGCTCCAGTATTCTTTCTTTATTGACCCATCTCCCCATATTTCAACATAAAGTTGAAAATATCTTTCAGTGCTTTGTTATTAGTTAATTTGCCTAATAACTGAATACTAAAAATCCTTCCCTGAACCCTTACTGGTACTGGAGATCTTGTGACTTTGCTTAACTTCTCTTGCCAGTCTACCTTGGGGCAGGGTCTTACTTCCCATACTCTTTATCTGTACACAGTTGTCCTGCCACATACAGATAAATGCTTTGCCTCAGCTGCTGCACTATCTTACTTTCAACCTGGATCAGTTGTTAAATTTCTTAATGCAAGTACCATATTCTGGCCCTGGTCATTACATGAACCTCACCACTGAGTTTTAGTACTTTTTAGGTATTCTGCCTTAGAAAACCTGTTTACCGAATGAGATTTGATAACTGGGTTCAAAATTTTTAATGTAATACAAGCCATGAACATTTTGTGTACAGAATTCAAAAATCAGTTGTTTCTCATTGAAATAAAAAAGATTAAATAAGCAGTTAAAATGGGTTAAATATGGGTCTTTCACTGTGTTACCCAATGATGACCTTGTTAATAAGAGTTGGGAATAAACCATATACATGCGTGGCTTAATACATCAGAGTCTAACAAGTAAAACTTCCCCTGTAGAGTCTACATGTAAAGACTGCCAATGTAAATTTTGTTATGAAAACCTGTTATTTGATGTTTTATCCAGTACTTTTATTACCAAATATGTTTTCCTGTTTCTGAGACTCCACTGTCACATTGATGTCTCTCCTGTGGTTATTTCTCAGCATCCCAGAACATGTCCTGCTACTGGGAGTTTAATTCATCCTAGCCTGAGAGCACTTCTTATGGATTACTTTCTTTGTAGCTCCCTGTGTAATAGCTGATTTTCACCCTTTAACATTTTTTCTCCCTGTACTTCCAAACCCGGAAGTGCTGTTGCAGTGAATATTCCTTCAGAGCAAACCATCAGTTCTAGTCCTTTCTGTTATTTTTAAAGTAGTATTTGGTATATGGTTGGGTCTTATGAAAACTAAAAACCCGGTTACAAATGTAGCATAAGGACAAATGGAGCCAAATTTTAGGCCTGGGGATGAGATGGTTGTGAGAATAGGTGGAGATTCTCTGTGGAAAATTTTACCTCTTAAGGTTACTATGCTAATAAATTAGAATATCAAACGTGAAGTTGTTAATGTATGAATAATACTGACTTACCTCAAATAAGATGTTCAGATTGAGAGTACGAGATGAGAAGTCTGAGTCAACAAAGTAAAATGTGATGGGTTATATTAGCAAAACAAGTTAAGTGGGAGTTACCTGAAACTAGCTCCTGGGCATCATCAGTTCCTCACTGTTGGAGCTACTTTTGTAGCTATGTTTGTTCAACATTTTCAGAGTTCAGTTTAACAAAATACTTACACAGGCTTAATAATTTGAGGCAGATCCTTTCACTTACATAAACAACATGGAAATAGACTAGTCCTTTAGAATTACCATTTCATTTTACAAAGCTTCAGTTTATGAAACTTAGACTATATTCAAATTTTTAGGAGATAATTCTTGTTACCACCTAGATGGTTTATTGTTTAACTTCTGTTAAATTTTCTGTATTCTACATGTCTAAATATTGTTTACTGTTTAACTTTTCAATATAAGGAAATAATATTAGTGCCAAAAGTAACTTTCAGGTGCCATGTAATGAATAAAAACAGGTGATGCTAAAAGCTAAGTCTTTAATTACCTATTTGGAGTTGGCAGTGATATCCGAAGCAACATCCCGAATCCATAAAAAGGCAAAATTTGCAGTTTAATCTTTTAGGATAAATTATCTTAAAGATCAATATCACATTCTAAATTACTTATCCAGAATTTATTTCATAATATGGTCTCTGTATGTCCTAGTCTCACATACAAAGAAAGTATTGATTTCACACATTTAATTCATTTATATTTATAAAACAACTTGCCTCAAAGAGTACAGGGACATTTGTATGTCATAAAATGTTGAATTAATACTTTTTTTTAGTAAAAGGTATTTTTTTTACCACTTCACGCACACTAGAATGCATAATCAAAAGGCAGACAATGATAAGTGTTGTTAAGAATGTGGAGAAATTGGCACCCTCGTTACTGCTGATGGGAATGTAAAATGGTGCAACCCTGTTGGAAAAAAGTTGGGCAGTTTCTCAAAAAGTTAAAAATAGAGTGACATATGACATAGCAATTGTGTTCCTAGGTATATAACCAAGAGAAATGAATTCATGTTTACACAAAAACTTGTACATAAATGTTCATGGTAGCATTATTCATCATAGCCGAAAATCAGAAACAACCCAAATGTCCATCAACTGATGATGGATAAGCAAAATGTGATGTAGTTAAACATTTGAATGTTATTCGGTTATAAAAAGTAATGAAATGTTGATTCATTCTACAACATGAATGAACCTTGAAAACATCAGAAGGCCACATATTATATGATTCCATTAATACGAAATGTTCAGAGTAAGCAAACTTTTAGAGACAAAAAGTAGATCAGTGGTTGCCAGGCCTGGATGAAGAGAAGAATAGGGAGTGACTAATGAACATGGGGACTTTGTAGGGTAATTAAAATGCTTTTAATTAGATAATGATGTGCAAATTTGTAAATAAGCTAAAAACCACAGAACTGTGTATGTTAAAAGAGTGAATTTTATGGTATATGAATTATGTCTCAGTAAAAAATTTATCAGTGTTTGTTTTTCTATATAAAAAGGTATTTTTTAATAAAATTGTAAAAAGTTTTATATAATTAATGCCAGGATTTTCCAAAAAAGTTAGTCACAAAAACTGACATTCACTTTAAAACTTTACTGTATATTAATGTGTAATGTGCATTGTATGGAACTTCCACCGATCTGAGACTTGAAGTAGCCCATGGTGTATATCTAATGCCTATCTTCTCTGATTATATTTTGAATGGTATTTTCACTCACTGACAGGAGTGAAATAGCCTTTAAAAAGCATTTTAAAGTTTATCTTACCTCAGAAATGTCAGTTATGAATATTATGTAATAGCAGAAAGACTATCGCTGTGAAGTCTAATATAAAATTGGGCTTCATCCTGAAATTTACTAGCAGTGTGTTCCTATTAAAGAAATTATTTGACATCTCTGAGCCTCAGGTTCTTCATCTGCAAAATACCTAGTAGATCCGTTATAAGAATTAAATGAGATACCATAGATAAAACAGACTATGCTCTCTGCTTCACTGCCCTGCATATAACTCACATTTCTTCTCCCTAGAATACTTCCCACCCCTTACCTCCTCCTGCCTTACACACACACACACACACACACACGCACACGCACACACACCCCTCTATACAAACCAAGTTAGGTCTCCTTCATATGTGTTCCCACTGAACCTAGGGATTACCCTATTGAAGCACTTACCATTGAATTTTCGTGTTTATTTGCCTGTTTTCCCCAGAAAACTATAAGTTCTTTTAAAAAACAATATTTTATCTACCAATGTATACACCTTACCTAGCATACTGACTAGCTTAATAAATATTTGAATAAATGAATTTTAATATCATACCCAGCATTATACTTGGTTCATAATAACTCCCTGAAAAGATACAGTGTATGTGTATTTTGCTTTTCTGTTAGAACACAATCAACCTTAAGTATTTTCAAATTTATAGTATGTGGTGATTTATATGTTAAGTGGAAATGTTTTTATTACCGGTTATACCTATGGAATGAAGAGAATGTTCCTTATCTGAGTTGTAATAGCCTACTTGTAGGTCTATATTTATCTTCACAGTTTGTACATTTTTTTCTTGTAATATCAAAATATATGTATATGTACTAAGTTTATTTTGCAAGTGTTTCAAGAATTTGTAGTTTAATATGCATATTTCATTGCTTTCTTCTCCATCTGACATTATTTAGACTTAGGATGAAATAGCAAGCTGGGAAACAATGCCATAGATTTAAAAAGGCCTATGAGAAGTATAGAAATTAAATCATTCTAAGCAATGTAACTGAAATTTGCTCTTGCCATTTACAAAATGATAGGAAATAATTATTTTGGCTAGAAAGAATGAAAATAAGGGTAGAATGGTGAAAGTTAATTGATATGTTCACTGTAATTACTTATTTTCATACATATACCTACCTAAATTATTTATAAAAGCTTTGCTGAATAAATATAAATTATTAACTCCACAAATATGGGGGAGTAGAAAACATAGAAGTAAGGTTTATGATTACTTAAATCATTGAGACTGCTTTCTTTAGAGTGTCATAACCATTCTGCTTCTTTCAGGTACAGAGAACTACAACTTAGTACAGAAAGCAAAGTAACAGAATTTCTCCATCAAAGTAAATTAAAATCTTTTGAAAGTGAGCGTGTTCAACTTCTGCAAGAGGAAACAGCAAGAAATCTCACACAGTGTCAATTGGAATGTGAAAAATATCAGAAAAAATTGGAGGTACATGTACAAGCTTTTCTTTCAACATTAGCATGGCATGTAAACTCCCTAAGTACAAGATTTATATTGAGCTTTATTTCTCCTATAGGATGTATCACTATCCTGCACAAAAAAAAAAAAAAAAAAAAAACAAGGAAATACGTATTTCAGAAAGATGTATACTGAAAAGGACTAGAATTGTTGAGAAACAAAAAAAGCAAGAAAAGATGTCATTCACAATAGCAACCAAAAATATATAATGACTTGGAATATTTTAAATAAGAACAGTGCAGAATGTATACGAAGAAAACTATAGAACTTCACTGACATGTGAAATGAAACACCATGTTTCTGGGAGGGAATGAAGTATACATTTTTTCAGTTTTCATCAAATAATATGATATGTTTCTATCTAATCAAATGCCAGCATATTTTTTAACTGAAAATAATTCTATAGAACAACTGGAAGGAAAAACATACAGAATAGTCAATATTTTTAAAAGTACTTTTTAAAAAGAAATAATGGAAATATATATCACATTTTAAAGTGTGTTCTGAGGCAAGAATAATTAAACTGCACACAAAATTAGTTCACAAATGGTATAAAATGTAAAGCCCCAAAACATATTTACATAAATTTAAGAATTTATACATGGTAAAGGTCATATTTCAAATCAGTAGGGAAAGTATGGATTGGACAATAAATGATGCTGTGATAATCATTTGAATATTTAGAGAAAATAGTTGACTCAATACCTCATACCGTATAGCAAAATTAAACTCAGATGGATTACTAGGCTGCATATATGTACAATATATAATATATATATTATATATATATATAGTGTGTGTGTGTGTGTGTGTGTGTGTGTGTGTGTAGCTATAAAGGTATTAGAAGTAAATACAGATGATCCAGGGGCAGTGAGTGACTCACGCCTGTAATCCCAGCACTTTTGGAGGCTGAGGTAGGTGGATCACCTGAGGTCAGGAGTTCTAGACCAGCCTGGCCAACATGGTGAAACCTCGTCTACTACTAAAAAAATGTAAAAGTTAGGTGTGGTGGCATGCACCTGTAGTCCCAGCTACTTGGGGGTTGAGACAGGGAGGATTGCTTAAGCCCAGGAGGTCGAGGCCACAGTGAGCTGAGATCACATCACTGCACTCTGGCCTGGCAACAGAGCAAGACTACATCAAAAAAATTTTTTAAAGTAAATACAGATGAAATTATATCTTATGTTTACTTTGGGAATTAATCTGTTAATCTGATGAAAGCCAGGAAAGAAATTATATAGGAAAAATAAAACCTGAATTTGTTTTTAAAATTCATAAATTTTAAAATTCATAAATTCATAAAATTCATAAATTTTTAAATTTATATTTAAACTTAAATAATATTTAAAATAATATATATAATATTAAAGGCAAAATAGAAACTGAAAAACAGTATTTGTGTTATATATGACAAAGGGCTTATGTCCTTAAGTTTAAAAGATATTTTATCAAGAGGACATGCCTTCGCCTTCTACATAAATAAGTGGGAAAAAAAAGGAATGGACCATTTCCAAGAAATGAAATGCAAATTGCTAATAAATAAATAAATGAAAATATGAATTCTCACTGATAAGTACCAAAATATAAATTTATAAATTTAAACTTTTTTTTTTACCTTTAGATAGGTCTGTGTGTTGTTTTTAAAATGCTGGCAAGAGTACCCTTAAGTGGGAAATCTCATGAGTTAGAAAATGAAACAGCCCTTCTGGACATTATGGTAATCTGTGTTAAAAGCCTTAGAAGGTTGATCCAGATTGTGAATTTTAGCTCCAGATCGACTGCAAGAACAAACCAGCAATCCTGAGAGGACCCACAGACCCTCTGAAGGAAGCGGACTGCTCCTGCAGGACCCGGAAGACACCCCAAATACTCTGGGAGGTGGAAAGCCTCGGGCAAGTTTTCAAGCCCAACTCACTCTGGGCCTGGAAACAGACTCTTGGGCTGTTGTGTTGGGGGGAGCCAGTGGGAGCGAGACCAGCCCTTCAGTTTTCGTGGGAACTGGGTGAGGCCTGTGACTGTTGGCTTTCCCCCATTTCCCTGACAACCTGCATGACTCAGCAGAGGCAGCCATAATCCTCCTAGGCCACCTCCACCAGAATAGGTGCTGGTATCCATGATGGAGAGACCCATAGACAGTTCACATCACAAGACTGTGCAGAAAACCCCAGTACCAGCCTGGAGCTGGGTAGACTCACTGGGTAGCTATACCCAGAAGAGCGACAACAATCACTGCATTTTGGCTCACGGGAAGCCACATCCACAGGAAAAGGGGTAGGGTACTACATCAAGGGAACACTTCGTGAGGAACAAAAGAACCTGAACAACAGCCTTCAGCCCTTGACTTGCCCTCTGAGAGAGCCTACCCAAATGAGAAGGAACCAGAAAACCAACCCTGGTAATATAACAAAACAAGGCTCTTCATGACCCTCCAAAAATCACACTAGTTCACCAGCAGTGGATCCAAACCAAGAAATCCCTAATTTACCTGAAAAAGAATTTAGGAGGTTAGTTATTGAGCTAGTAAGGGAGGAACCAGAGAAAGGTGAAGCCCAGTGCAAGGAAATCCAAAAAATGGTACAAGAAGTGAAGGGAGAAATATTCAAGGAAATAGCTAAAAGAAAAAAAATCAAAAATTCAGTGAACTTTGGACATGCTTTTAAAAATGCGAAATGTTCTGGAAAGTCTCAGCAATAGAATTGAACAAGTAGAAGAAAGAAACTCAGAGCTTGAAGACAAGGTCTTCGAATTAACCCAATCCAAAAAAGACAAAGAAAAAAGAATATGAAAATATGACTAAAGCCTCCAAGAAATTTGGGATTATGTTAAACAACCAAACCTAAGAGTAATCAGTGTTCCTGAGGAAGAAGACAATTCTAAAAGCTTGGAAAACATATTTGGGGGAATAATTGAGGAAAACTTCCCTGGCCTTGCTAGAGACCTAGACATCCAAATACGAGAAGCACCAAGAACACCTGGGGAATTCATTGCAAAAAGATTTTCGCCTAGGCACATTGTCGTCAGGTTATCCAAAGTTAAGACGAAGGAAAGAATCTTAAGAGCTGTGAGACAGAAGCACCAGGTTTTCCTATAGAGGAAAACCTATAAGATTAACAGCAGATTCCTCAGCAGAAAGCCTACAAGCTAGAAAGGATTGGGGATCCCATCTTCAGCATCCTCAAACAAAACAATTATAAGCCAATAACTTTGTATCTAGTGAAACTAAGCATCATAAATAAAGGAAAGATACAGTCATTTTCAGATAAATACATGCTGAGAGAATTCACCATTACCAAGCCACCACTATAAGAACAGCTCAAAGGAGCTCTAAATCTTGAAACAAATCCTGGAAACATCAAAACAAAATTGCTTCAAAGCATAAATCACACAGGACCTATAAAACAAAAATACAAGTTAAAAATCAAAAACAACAACAAAAAAAGTACACATGCAACAGAAAGCATGATGAATGCAATGGTACCTCACATTTCAGTACTAACATTAGATGTAAATGGCCTAAATGCTCCACTTAAAAAAGGTGCAGAACTACAGAATGGATGAGAACTTGCAAACTAACCATCTGCTGCCTTCAGGAGACACACCTAACACATAAGGACTCACATAAACTTAAAGGGGTGGAAAAAGGCATTTCATGCAATGAACACCAAAAGCGAGCAGGGGTAGCTATTCTTACATCAGACAAAAAAAACTTTAAAGCAACAGTGGTTAAAAGAGACAAAGAGGGACATTATATAATGGTAAAAGGCCTTGTCCAACAGGAAAATATCACAATGGACCTAACACTGGAGCTCCCAAATTTATAAAACAATTACTAATAGACCTAAGAAATGAGATAATCAGCAACACAGTAATAGTGGGGGACTTCAGTACTCCACTGACAGCACTAGAGAGGTCTTTAAGACAGAAAGTCAACAAAGAAACAATGGATTTAACTGGATTTAAACTGTACCTTGGAACAAATGGACTTAACAGATGTAAACAGAACATTTCATCGAACAACTGCAGAATACACATCCTATTCAACAGCACATGGAACTTTCTCCAAGATAGACCATCTGATAGGCCATAAAATGAGCCTGAATAAATTTAAGAAAATTGAAATTATATCAAGCCCTCTGTCAGACTGCAGTGGAATAAAACTGGAAATCAACTCCAAAAGGAACCTTCAGAATCACACAAATACATGGAAGTTAAATAACCTGCTCCTGAATGAGCATCAGGTCAAAAATGAAATCAAGATGGAAATTTAAAAATTGTTTGAACTGAATGACAGTAATGACACAACCTACCCAAACCTCTGGAATACAGCTAAGGCAGTGCCAAGAGGAAAGTTGATGGCCCTAAACACCTACATCAAAAAGTCTGAAAGAGCACAAACAGACAATCTAAGGTCACACCTCAAGGAACTAGAGAAACAAGAATAAACCAAACCCAGCAGAAGAAAGGAAATAACCGAGATCAGAGCAGAACTAAATGAAATTTGAACAAAAAGAAATACACAAGGTAAATGAAACAAAAAGCTGGTTCTTTGAAAAGATAAATAAAATTGATAGATCAGGCCAGGCACGGTGGCTCACGCCTGTAATCCCAGCACTTTGGGAGGCTGAGGTGGGCGGATCACCTGAGGTTGGGAGTTCGAGTCCAGCCTGACCAACATGGAGAAACCCTGTCTATACTAAAAATGCAAAAAAAAAAAAAAAATAAAGCCGGGCATGTGGCTCATGCCTGTAATCCCAGCTACTCAGGAGGCTGAGGTAGGAGAATTGTTGGAGCTTGGGAGGCAGAGGTTGCAGTAAGCAGAGATCGTACCATTGCATTCCAGCCTGAGCAACAAGAGCGAAACTCCATCTCAGAAAAAAAAAAAAAAAATTGATAGACCATTAACAAGATTAACCAAGAAAAGAAGAAAATCCAAATAACCTCACTGAGAAATGAAACAGGAGATATTACAACTGACACCACTGAAATACAAAAGATTATTCAAGTCTACTGTGAATATCATTACACACATAAACTAGAAAACCTAAAAGAGATGGATAAATTCCTTGAAAAAATACAACCCTCCTAGCTTAAATCAAGAAGAATTAGATACCCTAAAAAGACCAATAACAAGCAGCGAGATTGAAACGGTAATTTAAAAATTACCAAAAATAAAGTCCAGGACCAGATGGATTCACAGCAGAATTCCACCAGACATTCAAAGAAGAATTGGTACCAATCCTTTTGACACTATTTCACAAGATAGAGAAAGAAGGAACCCTCCCTAATTCATTCTATAAAGCCAGCATCACCCTAATACCAAACCAGGAAAGGATACAACCAAAAAAGAAAACTACAGACTGATATCTTTGATGAACATAAATGCTAAAATCCTTAACAAAATACTAGCTAACCAAATCCAACAACATATCAAAAAGATAATCCATCACGACCAAGTAGGTTTCATACCAGGGATGCTGGATGGTTTAACGTATGCAAGTCAATAAATGTGATAACCACATAAACAGAATTAAAAACAAAAATTACACCTCAATAGATGCAGAAACAGCGTTAGACAAAATCCAGCATCGCTTTATGATTGAAACCCTCAGCAAAATCGGCATACCTTAACATCATAAAAGCCATCTATAACAGACCTACAGCCAACATAATACTGAATGGGGAAAAATTGAAAGCATCCCTGCTGAGAACTGAAACAAGGCAAGGATGCCCATTCTCACCACTCCTCTTCAATATAGTACTGGAAGTCCTAGCCAAAGCAATCAAACAAGAGAAAGAAATAAAGGGCATCCAAATCAGTAAAGAGGAAGTCAAACTGTCCCTGTTTGCTGACCATATGATCGTTTACCTTGAAAACCCTAAGTACTACTCCAGAAAGCTCCTAGAACTGATTAAACAATTCAGCAAAGTTTCCGGATACAAGATTGATGTACACAAATCAGTAGCACTTCTATACACCAACAGCGACCAGGCAGAGAGTCAAATCAAGAACTCAACCCCTTTTACTATAGCTGCAAAAAATTAAATACTTAAGAATATTCCTAACAAAGGAGTTGAAAGACCTTTACAAGGAAAACTACAAAACACTGCTGAAAGAAATCATAGATGACACAAACAAATGGAAACACATCCCATGCTCACGGATGTGTAGAATCAATATTATGAAAATGACCATACTGCCAAAAGAATCTACAAATTTAATGCAACCCCCATCAAAATACCACCATCATTCTTCCCAGAGTTAGAAAAAAAAATTCTAAAATTCATGTGGAATCAAAAAAGAACCCGCATAGCCAAAGCAAGACTAAGCAAAAAGAACAAATCTGGAGGTATCACACTACCTGATGTCAAACTATACTATAAGGCCATAGTCACCAAAACAGTGTGGTACTGGTATAAAAATAGGCACATAGACCAATGGAACAGAATAGAGAACCAGAAATAAACCCAAATACTTACAGCCAACTGACCTTTGACAAAGCAAACAAAAACAAAGTGGGGAAAGGACACCCTTTTCAATAAATGGTGCTGGGATAATTAGCTAGCCACATGTGGGAGAATGAAACTGGATCCTCATCTCTCACCTTATACAAAAGTCAACTCAAGATGGATAAAGGACTTAAACCTAAGACCCAAAACTATAAAAATTCTGGAACCTAACATCAGAAAACCCTTCTAGGCATTGGCTTAGGCAAGGATTCCATGACCAGAAACCCAAAAGCAATTGCAATAAAAACAAAGCTGGCCAGGTGCAGTGGCTCATGCCTGTAATTCCAGCACTTTGGGAGGCCAAGGCAGGCAGATTACATGAGGTTGGGAGTTCAAGACCAGCCTGACCAACATGGTGAAACACCGTCTCTACTAAAAAGACAAAATTAGCCAGGTGTGGTGGTGCATGCCTGTAATCCCAGCTACTGGGGAGGCTGAGGCAGGAGAATCTCTTGAACCCGGGAGGCGTACATTGCAGTGAACCGAGATTGCGCCATTCCGCTGCACCCTGGGCAACCAGAGCAAAACTCCGTCTCAAAACAAAAAGCAAAAAACAAACAAACAAACAAAAGCTAAATAGCTGGGACCTGATTAAAGAGCTTTCGCACAGCAAAAGGAACAGTCAACAGAGTAAACAGACAACCCACAAAGTGGGAGAAAAATCTTCACAATCTATATATCTGACAAAGGATGAATATCCGGAATCTACAGTGAACTCAAATCAGTAAAAAAAACAATCCCATCAAAAAGTGGGCTTAGGACATGAATAGACAATTCTCAAAAGAAGATATACAAATGGCAAGTAAACATGAAAAAATGCTCAACATTGCTAATGATTGGGGAAATGCAAAACAAAACCACGATACAGTACCCCCTTACTCCTGCAAGAATGGCCACAATCAAAGAATCAAAAAGCAGTAGGCTGGGCACGGTGGCTCACGCCTGTAATCCCAACACTTTGGGAGACCGAGGCAGGCGGATCACCTGAGGACAGGAGTTCGAGATCAGCCTGGCCAACATGTGAAACCCTGTCTACTAAAAATAAAAAATTAGCCAGGCATGGTGGCAGGTGCCTGTAATCTAAGCTACTCGAGAGACTGAGGCAGGAGAATCACTGGAACCCGGGAAGAAGAGGTTGCGGTGAGCAAAGATCATGCCACTACACTCCAGCCTGGGTGACAAGAGCGAGACTCCTTCTCAAGAAAAAAAAAAAACCAACCAGTAGATGTTGGCATGGATGCGGCGATCAGGGAACACTTCTACGTTTCTGGTGGGAAAGTAATCTAGTACAGCTGCTATGGAAAACAGTGTGGAAATTCCTTAAAGAACTAAAAGTAGAACTACCATTTGATCCAGCAATCCCATTACTGGGCATCTACCCAAAGGAAAATAAGTCATTATTTGAAAAAGATACTTGCACACACATGTTTATAGCAGCACAATTCACAATTGCAAAATCGTGGAACCAACCCAAATGCCTATCAATCGAATGGATAAAGAAACTGTAGTGTGTATGTATATGTGTGTGTGTGTGTGTATACACACACATGATGGAATACTGCTCAGCCATAAAAAGGAATGAATTAACAGCATTTGCAGTGACCTAAATGAGATTGGAGACTATTATTCTAAGGGAAGTAACTCAGGAATGGAAAACCAAATGTCACATGTTCTACTGATATGTGGGAGCTATGCTATGAGGACGCAAAGGCATGAGAATGATACAATGGACTTTGGGTACTTGGGGGGAAGAGTGGAACAGGGAAAGGGTAAAAGACTACAAATATAGTGCAGTGTATACTGCCCCGGTTGATGGGTGCACCAGGATCTCACAAATTACCGCTAAAGAACTTAACTTGTGTAACCAAATACCACCTGTACCCCAATAACTTACGGAAAAATAATTAATAAATAAGGGCTGTGTGGCTTTAAAAAAAAAAAAAAGAATTGATTGTTGGCATCTGAGCCTATAGTCTCTGCATCAGTAGGCAATATACCAAGTGGGTGGTATTAATCTTTCCTCAGCTTTTAAATATTAAGTAAACCCCCAAAATAAAATGGAAAGAAAAAAAGCTGATCCAGTAATTTTACTTAAAGGAATTTTATCTAAGGAAATAGAGATACGTATAAAGGTTTATATAAATGATGCATGTCGCAGCATTATTTATTATGTAAAAATTAGAAGTAACTTAAGTGTCCAACAGTAGATAAAGTTTTCAATTAGCATATTATAAATTGTGTATTTTGCTGTGTCCATGCACTGCATGTTCTTGGGTATTTTAGATTTGGGGAAAAGGCTAATTAAAAACATGGAATGAAGGATGCAGTTAGGAAATTAGTATGGTCTTGACTATGGTTTACATGTTCAGTAAAAATCATCAATATACATAGAAAAACATTTGAAGGAAATAAATCTTTTTTTTTTTTTTGAGACAGTCTCACTCTGTCTCCCAGGCTGGAATGCAGTGTCACAATCTCGGCTCACTGCGACCTCTGCTTCCCCAGTTTAAGCCATCCTCCCACCTCAGCCTCCCGAGTAGCTAAGATTACAGGCGTGCACCACCACGCCCAGCTAATGTTTTTATGTTTTTCGTAGAGACGAGGTTTCACCATGTTGGCCAGGCTCATCTCAAGCTCCTGACCTCAAGTGATTCCCCCTGCCTCAGCCTCCCAAAGTGCTAGGATTACAGGCGTGAGCCACCGCGCCCAGCCAAATATATCCAGATATTAAAGTTTATCTATAAATGGTATAATTATGGGTGATTTTTATATCTTCATTCTCCCCCCCTAGACTAAGACCTTTTTAAAAATATGCTTCTAGGTCTCAGCCAGAACCTGGCACATAGTTAATTGAATTGATAGTATGCAGTACTTTGTAACTGAGTGTCTATTAGGCAGTAAGCACTGTGCTGGGCCCAGTTACACAAATTTTAAGAAATGATTCCTATCTTCAGGAAACTAAGAATTTTGAACAGGGCTTTGAATAGAGCTTTCTGTAATGATGCAAATATTCTATATCTGCAATATCCAGTTCAGTAGCCACTTGCCACGTGTGATCATTTAGCACTTGAAATATGGCTACTTCACTGAGGAACCAAGCTTCTTTAGTTAATCTTAATTAAATTAAATCTAAAATTAGCTACATGTATTTAATGACTCTGGTATTAGACTGCATGCTCTAGACAATTAACCAGAGCATACACATCCTTACTATTAGGCAGTGGTAGGATTTGAAAACTTTTCTCCTTAGTTTTATCATAAAAGAAAAATGTAAGGTATTTTCTGCCCAAATAGAATTTCTTCTGGCAGTATTGGGTAGGGATTGGCCTGTGGGCTTTAGGCTCAACAGACCTAAGATTTGAACCCAGTTACTCACCACTCTCTGGATAAAATACTCATTTTCTTTGGGAATAATAATAGCAACTGTTTCATAATGTTGTTATATCTGTTTGGCTCATATAAAACAACCATTTATGCTCAGTACCAATTCATAGAAATCCTCAAAATATTGTTTTGATGCTATAGAATTTTGTTTTAGTTAAGTTGGGAAATGACGGGAAAATGGAAGTATCCTTTCCCAAAAGATAATTATTTGTTGGGTAAAAGATTTTTTTTTTTTCACTTTTCAGATCCCATAATAGTGTGCCCACTAATAAACTCAAGCATTTTAATCTTCCAATTTTCCTTTCTGCATATGAAGGTTTATTTTACAGTTACAAAAATATGAAATTATAGGTCATTAAACAGAAACTACAATGCAAAGAAACTGAAAGTTATTCAATTAGAAGCCTTTCTCAATTGAAAATCAGATATTAAAGTAGTTTCCCCCAAATTATAATGCAATTCAGTTACAGGATAAATATCATAAAATAGAACTGGTTTGTCTTTATTTTGGAAATACATGTGTTGCATACATTTGTCATTTATCCAAAATATCAAAATATTTCTTTTTTTTTTTTTTTTTTTTTTTTTGAGGAGGAGTCCTGCTCTGTCACCCTGGCTGGAGTGCAGTGGCACCGTCTCGGCTCACTACAACCTCCACCTCCCAGGTTCAAGCGATTCTTGTGCCTCAGCCTTTGAAGTAACTGAGACTACAGGCGCACGCTACCACACCCAGCTAATTTTTGTATTTTTAGTAGAGACAGGGTTTTGCCGTGTTGGCCATGCTGATCTCAAACTCCTGACCTCAGGTGATCCACTTGCCTTGTCCTCCCAAAGTGCTGGGATTACAAGTGTGAGCCACCATGCCTGGCAAAATATTTCTTTTTTAATGGCATTCATTTGATATTTTAAGACCACATAATATAGAAAATACACTTATAATACTAGGTGACAATATTCCTTTACACAGCTGTATGCACTGGATTTTTTTTTAATGTCTAAGGTGAGAATAAAAGATTTTGAAGAAATACACCATAAAGGGGGGTTGTTAACTAACAAATCAGCCTTGACTCATTTTAATGTTTTATTTCTACTTTTTTGTTCTAGAGAGGTTATATTATTTAATATCGCACAACTAGTAAGTGACTGAACTGTGATTAGACCTTAACACCTGACCAACCTCACTTTAAATCCCATACTTTTTTTTTTTTTTGGAGACAGAGTCTCACTCTATCTGTCACCCAAGCTGTAGTGTGATGGCATGATCTCAGCTCACCGCAACCTCTGTCTCCCAGGTTGAAGCAATTCTCCTGCCTCAGTCTCCTGAGTAGCTGGGATTACATGCACGCACCACAACACCCGGCTAATTTTTGTATTTTTAGTGGAGACAGGGTTTCACCACGTTGGCCAGGGTGGTCTTGAACTGCTGACCTCGTGATCCGCACATCTCAGCCTCCCAAAGTGCTGGGATTACCGGCGTGAGCCACCACACCCAGCGTAAATCCCATACTTTTAACCACCACAATATTTAATATTTATTACAGTAATCTCTCCAAGATTACACTTCTGGAAATTACTCTGATTAGTGAAACTAATTAAAGGGCCTCAGAAAATAAAGCCTTAGTGAAAAACATAAAAATATATTAAATATATATGTATGTTTAAAAAGACAAGCAAAATTTGTAGATGGTGTCTACTTATAAAGCAAATCAATGTTCAGTATTTAAAACTTTTTTCCTATACTTTCTTCAGGAAAATGCTGTAGAGTCATAATCTGTTGCAGGTGATTCTCCCACACATCCTTTTTTTATTGCCTTTAGCTGGTTACAAACAAAATTGATTTTATAACCTCCAAAAAATTGCAACTTGCAGTTTGCAAAGGACTCTCATAGACCTGTCAACTTGGTCTCTGGATGCAGGTGACTAGTAATTATTATGCTTTGTTTAAAGGTCATATATGGAAAAACACCTTTCTAAAAAATGTTGTGGTTCTAAAGATTCTGGTTGTTAAAACTGAGGCTTGAGGGCATTTCTTAACGTTGTGTGCCCCTATTAAACTGAAGCCTTGAGAAAGCAGAGAGATTATTCATTTATCATTGTGTCAGCAGTGCTTAACACAGTGCCTCTCTCATAATGAATCCTCAATAAATACTTGATGAATGAATGGTTTGATTAAGAATAATGTAGTATCATAGTTTGAATCTTTTGGTGGGGGGGATTCTACAAAGTATTTTTAAGACAATTCTTATTTATAATTAATTTATAGAGAAATAATTTCATCATGGTAAAGATAATGGACTTTTCTGGGCTTTTACCCAGTATTCTCATTGATTGTTAATTTGGAGATTATTTATTTTTGCTTAATTATTAATTGGCAAAGGCTCCCAGAAGCGTTGGCTTTATATATTTGTCTCTGTTTAAGGCAAAATTATAATTTTGTATTATCATTATTTAATCTTTGTATTATTCAGTTAATACATGTATTATTCAAAGGAAGGAAAATTTTACTGTGAGAACTTTATATTTAATGGATTCCTAAAATTAATGGGCTTATTTTATGTATCCATATTTAAACTGAAATGTTCATGTATTGATTTTTATTAAAACAAATCCTTAATATTATAGCCTACCATGGGTCCAACAGTCAAGTTCTCTTTGGCATTTCAGAAGCAGTAATAGGTTTACTTATAACAACCACTCAGACAAATCCACAGAAACAGAAAATTCTCTAATATGGGGTACTAGAGGTATTGGGAGATAGCCCACATCAGTAGTTTTTCAGGACCTCTCTTTCACATTATGAAGATATTTTTTAAATTACATCTCTCGTAATGGTTTTTAAATCTCTCCTTAAAATAATATCTTATAAAATATCCCATCTTCAACATTTTGATTCCTTATCTCTAATCATTTCTCCTGTTTTTCTTCGTGTGGTGGTTTTGCAGGGGGAGGTGGGGTACAAATGAAAAAGTATCAGCTCTGCTGTGGGAATAGTCATTTAACACTGCCTTTACTGATTCTCTCTTTTGACAGTGGAATTAGTTTCATCAGCCACCAGATTCTTAATGAATTACATCCCAATGTAATGAACTCCATGTAAGCCCCAGATAATGTCACTGAGTAATGATTTTTTTATAATGAATTAACAAGTTTCTAGAAAACACATTCCCAACAAGCAAGAATAAAGAAGAAATAATGCTAAAACACACATTTTGTTTTTTCTGACCCAACCAGAGCCACTGGAAATCACCATAAAAATGCTGTTCCCATTTTATTCCTTCTCCACTCTCCAAAGGAATGTATATGGAGAGTGAGGGATAATGTTTTGTTTACTTTGGGGGAAAGTTTTGCTGAAAATTGAAGGAAATGATCTGAAATAAGTTAAGGAAAATTATAATTTCTGCTCATTGAGAACTGTAAATAGGTCTTCCTTCTCCCTTTTTCCACATCACAGAAAACATATAATCATACACATTTTGTATTGTGAACTTTATGTCATTAGAGAAAATAGTTGTCTTTAAAAGTGTTTAATTGTAGAGAATTCAAGATAATTAAATTAGTGGAACTCTATTTGCATGAACTATTTCATGCAGAATTGTCATATAGTTATATTTCTTACAGTAGCAATAGTACTTTTCAACACTATGTTCTAGGTACTCTGCTAAGCACTGTAAATTTATCATCTCATTTAATTTCTTTCAACAGTGTTTTAAGGTAGGCCTATAAAGAATAAGTAATTGCCTAAGATCACAGCTAGTAAGTGTCAAAGCCATATTGAAATCCAAATTTTTCTGGCTCCAAACCATATTCTTCACTGTAGTAGTCTGTTGCCTCTCAGGAAACAGTATATTATGTTGTATTAGAAAGCAGGTGTAATACCACTCCATAATTTAGTCTGTAAAAATAAGTAAGCATTCTAGATAATTGGAATTTAAGCATTAAAACATTTCCGTATCACTAGAGGCATCTCTTTTTTTAGTTAATTTATTGTTGTCATCATGGTGTTTCCTTCAATGAATTACCATTGGAGTGTAGGATTTTTTGCTTGTATACAAAATGACTCCAATTTCCATGCCCTTTGCATCTCATTTTTAATGTGTTTTAGTTGTTCACAAAGGCATTTTCTGATACTGCCTCAAGCAGTACTTCACATTTACCTTTTGATTTCCTGCTTTGAATTTATGACTGTTCAGAAAACCAAAAATGTTATTAAGATCATAGTAAGGGTAATTCAATAAGCTCTGATGGAAAATTGAAGGATTTATTGTCAGTATATCGTTTTTACAAACAGCTTTGTAAGCCTCTGTCAAATGGCTTTGATTGCCAGATAAATGACCTCTATGTAAATATGACATTGTATTTTTTTAAATTCTAACAAGCAAATGCTAATATTACTCCTATAATTATTCCTAATTTTAAATTCATTTTTTATTCAGCTTATAAAATAAGGATAAGGTACTTCATAATTTTCAGTTAAAAACAACTGAATTATTTACCTTAGAAATAAATATATTTAATTTCCTCATTAGTCATCTTAATTGAGCTACTTTCTCTTAATATTTAAATAACAAAAAAAGCCCTATGAATGTCTTTGCATCATGTTTTTGTCTTAACTGTGCACCTGTTTAATTCTGCCTTTGTAATTCTTCTCTTTCACTATTAGGTTTTAACCAAAGAATTTTATAGTCTCCAAGCCTCTTCTGAAAAACGCATTACTGAACTTCAAGCACAGAACTCAGAGCATCAAGCAAGGCTAGACATTTATGAGAAACTGGAAAAAGAGCTTGATGAAATAATAATGCAAACTGCAGAAAGTAAGTCTTCCCCCACACACACATGCACAACTTTTTTTTTTCTGGCAACAAAAGACGCCTGACCTTATTTCTAAAACTACTTTGGGATCAGGCACGGTGGCTCATGCCTGTAATCTTAGCACTTTGGGCGGCCAAGGTGGGCAAATCACTTGAGGTCAGGAGTTCGAGACCAGCCTGGCCAACGTGACAAAACCCCATCTCTACTAAAAATACAAAAAAAAATTACCCAGGAGTGATACTGGGGAATCCCAGCTACTCCAGAGGCTGAGGCAGGAGAATTGCTTGAACCCGGAAGGCAGAGGTCGCGTTGAGCCGAAATCATGCCACTGTACTCCAGCTCAGGCAACAGAGTAATACTGTCTCAAAAAAAAAAGAAAAGAAAAAAATAAAACTACTTCGGTATATTTTCTTAAAATATAATTGGTGACTATTTCTAAATAAAATTCTGTATTTCAAATATTTGTTCATCTTCATCTTAGAAATTGCAGTCAAAAAAGAAACAGGTTAAATATGATAGCTTTTATCTGTTCAATTTTTTATCAAATTCACTTACTCCAGAATTGTTAAGTATTTACATCTGTCAGGAACTGGGGATTAGGAGTTCATGGAAATAATTCCCGTCTCAAGGGGTTTCTAATCTACTGAGAGAGGTGAACATAATAACAAATAATTAGAGTAGCAAGATAAATGCTATAAGCAAAAAATATGCAGTTCTCAGTGGAAATACAAAAGAGATCATTAATTAATCCCACCTTTAAAGGAGGTGAGGCATATCTAAGAGAGGAGATGACACTGCAATTAGTCTTTTCTTTTTTCTTTTTTTTTTTTTTGAGACGGAGTTTCACTCTTGTTGCCCAGGCTGGATTGCAACGGTGTGATCTCAGCTCACCTCAACCTCTGCCTCCCGGTTTCAAGCGATTCTTCTGCCTCAGCCTCCGGGTAGCTGGGATTACAGGCATGCGCCACCACACCCAGCTCATTTTGTATTTTTAGTAGAGACGGGGTTTCTCCATGTTGGTTAGGCGGTCTCAAACTCCCGACCTCAGGTGATCTGCCCGCCTCGACCTCCCAAAATGCTGGGATTACAGACGTGAGCCACTGTGCCCAGCCTTGGAATGAGTCTTGAAGTACAAATAAAAATTCATTTGAGGGTACTGTGTTATAATCTTTGATCTTTAATTTCTGTTTTCCTTTTTTCTTGTTTTCCCCTCTTGTTATCTTCCTGTCTTATCCCTAACGTTAATAAATATTTTAAATTAACATTTCACCATTGGCTGTGATGTTTGCTACAGTACATTATTTGTGTTCAAAAGTCAGATAACCATGGCATTCTTATAAAAATGGGTTTAAACTTCAGTTGAAGTTGAATTTGAATCTAGGTAGGGTTCTAATTATTTTAGGCACATTTTTGCATAAGGACTGTATTTACTTGTAGGCCAAATGTAAGAAAAACTTATTTCTTTCCTATCATTGTCCTATTTCCCATTTCCAAGGTCAATGTCTGATAACTGCAATAGATTTTAAATTTATCTTCAATTTCTTCACTGGAGTCAAAGTAATCTTTGTAACATTCAAATTTTCATATCATATGCTGGCTTTAATGACTTTTATTGTCTTCATTAAGACAATAAAGTCAAATTTCTTTACATGACTTCATGATTAGACTCATGTTTATCTTTCTGCTTTCATATCTTGCCATTCCCCTCCATATCATATTATTGTTTTGAAAGTTTCATACTCTTTCTTACCTCCGTAACTTTGCATATTTCCCTTTGTCTAAACAAATTAGGAATAGAAGGGAACTTCCTCGATCTGAAAAAGGGCATTTATAAAAACCAACAGCTAAAATTGTACTTAATGGTGAAATATTGAATACTTTCCCCATTGAGGGGGAGAGTAAAACAGGGTTTCCTATTTTCATGATTTATATGACATATTAAGTGCTGTATTTGAATTCCTAACCTGTGAGATAAGGATAAGAGAAGATATATATAAAAATCAGAAAGGAATAGTAAGAATCTATTTTCAGATTACCAAACAACTACTAAACCTGATAAGTGAATATAGCAGAATATATAGTCATTACCCAAAAATATACTAGAAGTAAACAATTGGAGAAGTAAGTAGCAACAAAAAACACAAAATACTTAGGAATAAATTTAAGCCAAAAAACCCTACAGATCATTGCTAAGAGAAATTAAAGAACCACTCCCCCCAAAATCACGAAATATATTGTGAATTCTATCAATTCAGTGTTCTTCTAGTCACAGTGGCAGGAGGCTTTTTTGTATTTCATTCATATGGAGTGCAGAGGACTGGAATATCCAAAGCAATCTTGAAAAAAGTTGAAGCCCTGTGTGGTGGTGCACTCCTGCAGTCCCAGCTACCTAGGAGGCTGAGGCAGGAGGATTGCTTGAGCTTAGAGGTTAAAGCCTGTAGGGTGCGATGATCATGCCTGTGAATACCCACTGCACTCCAGCCTGGGCAACATAGCGTGACCTCCTCTCCTCCACAAAAAAAAGAACAAATTGGAAGAATTGCACTACCTGTTTTCAAGATTTACTATAAAGCTTCAATATCAGGATAATACAGTACTGGCTTAAGGAAAGACAAATACAGCAATGAAACAGACTAGAAAACCCAGAAACAGATCCATACTTAAATAATAATTTCATTTTTAACAAAGGCAGCAAAGCAAACAAATGGAGAAAGGAAAGTTTGTTCAATAAATGGTGCTAAAAAAAAATTGGACATCTTTATGGAAGTAAACTTCCATACACCAATATTAATCTGAGACGATACCTAAATGGAATAGCTAAAACTATAAATATGTAACAGAAAACATAGGTGAGTTATCTTTACAACGTGGAGTACATTAAGACTTTTTTTGACATGGCCCTTGAATGTAATTATCATAAAAGAAAAACTGATAAAGTAGATGTCATCAAAATTTAAAACTTCTGTTCTTCAAAAGACACCATTAAGAAATGAATAGCCAAGCCACAGACTCAAAGAAAATAACCACAATTTTATATCTGACAAAAGAATGATACCCAAAATAAGAAAATATTGAGGAGAAAATATTCACAAAACATAGATTAAACAAAAGAAAATGATACCCAAATGTGGTGGGCTGAAAAACATCCTTCTAGAGATGTCCATGTCCTGTTGGGCATAGTGACTCATGCCTGTAATTCCAACACTTTGGGAGGCTGAGGCAGGTGGATCACTTGAGCTCAGGAGTTCAAGATTAGCCTGACATGGTGAGACCCCATCTCTAGAAAAAAAGAGAAAGAGAGAAGGAAAGAAAGGAAGGGAAGAAGGAAGGAAGGAAGGAAAGAGAAAGGAAAAGGAAGGAAGGAAAGAAAAGAGAAAAGAAAAGAAAGATGTCCATGTCCTCATCTTTGGAACCTCTGAAAAAGCTGGAAAAGGCAAGGAAACAGATTTCACCATAGAGCCTTCACACAGAACCAGCCCTACAAAGCATTGACTTCAGGTCAGTGAGGCTGATTTTTGGACTTACTACCTGTAGAGCTATAAAATAATAAATTTGTATTGTTTAAACCATAAAGTCTGGCAATCTGTTAACGTTAGCAGTAGGAAATTAATGTACCAGAATATATATTTAAAAATTCATGTAACTCAGTGATTAAAAAAAAAATAGTCCTGTTTAAAACATGGGCAAAAGGTTTAAACACTTCACAAAGGAAGACATGTGAATGACAAGTAAGCATAATAAAAGTATTCAACATTACTAGTCATGAGGGAAAAGCAGATTAAAAGCCCAGTGAGATACCACTGTATACCCACAAGAATGGCTGAAATTAGAAAGACTGACTATACCAAATGTTGGTGAGAAGTGGAGCAACTGGCAGTTTCTTACAAAATAATTAAACAACCTAATCAGTGATCCAGCATTTCCGTTACTTACCCAAGAGAGAAGAAAGCATATGCACCTTAAAAGATTTCCTCTAGAATGTTCATAGGAAATGTATTCATAATAGTCAAAAACTGACAACAGCCCAGGTGTGTATCTCAAAGGAAAATGGTTAATCAAACCATTATACATTCATGTAGTAGAATACTTCTCCTCACTGGAAGGAAACAATTGACTTACTTAACAACATGGATGAATCTGAAAAACATAAAGTGTACTTTATATAATATAGTATGATTATACTGTATGATTATAGTATGTGGTATGATTATACTATATGATTATAGTATATGGTATGATTATACTATATGATTATAGTATATAGTATGATTATACTGTATGATTATAGTATATAGTATGATTATACTATATGATTATATAAAGTTCTAGAAGAGACAGAAGTAATCTATGATGAAAAAAATCAAGGGGTGGGGGTAAAAATTTTTTTTTTTATTTTTAAAAAGACAAAAATCAGAACTGTAGTTGTCTCTAAAGATGATTGTCACCAAAAATTAACTGAGAAAAGTGACATGGAACTTTCCAGGGTATTCAGATGTTCTATATATCTTGATAGGGTTTGTGTTAAACACATGTCTGTACATTTCAAAACTTTTACATTTCAAAACTCGTTGAATGGTAGACTTAAAAAATAAAAATAAAATTTATACATGGTGAAAGTTACAAATCTTATTTTTTAGAAAATAACTGTAAATACATATTGAATTATAATTGATGATTTGCATGTTAAACTGTTGAGGAGTGAAGTGTGCAAATGTCCACAACTTTCTTTGAAATGCATCAAAAAAACATTCATGGAAACGGGTGGATATATGTATAATAAACACATAGTATGTTTGATTTAGAATCCAGATGTTGGAGCCAGGCACAGTGGCTCATGCCTTTAACCCCAGCATTTTGGGAGACCAAGGCAGGACGATTGCTTGAGCCCAGAAGTTCAAGGCCAGCCGGGGCAACCTGGCAAGACCATCTCTACAAAAAAATAAAAAATGAACCAGGCATGGTGGTGCCAGCTACATGGGAGGGTGAGGTGGGATGATCGCCTGAGCCCTGAACGTCAAGGCTGCAGTGACTGTGTTCACGCCACTGCACTCCAGTCTGGGTGACAGAATGAGACTCTGTCTCAAAAAAAAAAAAAATTGCAGATGTTGAGTATATGGATGTATACTGTACATTTTTTCAGTGTGTCCACATGTATAAATATTTTCTTAAAAGCTGCAGAAAAATAGAAATTAATTTTTGTTATGATACTATCTAAACCAACTTCAAATAAAATAGATTTACCTGTACTAGAAGATCAGTAACTAGGTTCTCTATCAGTTCACATTGGAAATTAAAATATACCTTGTCCTTATTTAATGAATACTTATCGATTAACTAAAATTTCAAAGAAGTGAGCACAGACTTTTTTTAGTACTACATTGTGTACAATTTTCAAAGGCTTGCCATTTAATTCAGGTAATTTCGGCTGACTTTTTTCAACAGACTATTTTTAGTACTACATTGTATACAATTTTCAAAGGCTTGCCATTTAATTCGGGTAATTTTAGCCGACATGAAGGTGATTAGCCTTCATTTATTAAGGTGTAACCATAGCAAATTAAAGTATCTTATTTATACTTGTATTGCTTTCTGTAATCAAATAAGTATTATTTGGATATTTGAGTTTAGTTTTCAAAGATTTCATCAAGTTGTTAAAAGTATAAGTATTGTCTAAAAGCTAAATAAACTCATATTAGAAAAAAAAAACAACCTAGATTTCTAGTTGTTAAATTCAGTTACCTGCCACACATCCTCATCATACTTATAACCTTCACTAGGCATTTGTCGAATTTCTCAGAACTCCCTTCTCTTTGCTTCTTGAATCACCTGCCTTTGTTTATTTTCCATCACTTAACTTCTGGATAATCTTTTCCCTTTCCGCAACTTCAGTTACTATCAATAGGCTAGTAATTTCTATAGTTAGACACAGGGTCTCACTGTGTTGCCCAGGCTGGAGTGCAGTGGTACAATCATAGCTCACTGCAGTCTCAAACTCCTGGGCTCAAGTGATTCCCCCTGCCTCATCCTCCCAAGTAGCTGAGACTACAGACACATGCCATCATGCCCAACTAATTATTTTTTGTAGAGACACGGTCTCACTATGTTGCCTAGAGTGATCTCAAACTCCTGGCCTCAAGGGATCCCCCTGCCTGGGCCTCCCAAAACGCTGGGATTATAGGCATAAGCCACCATGCACAGCTGAAAATTTAACATTATTTGCATTTCCTCTTTCTTCCCTGAAACTTCCTAATTTTTCTGTACAGTTGCTCTCTCTATTAGCAGATACTGCATCTCAGATTTAATCACCTGTGGATTGAAAATATTGGGGAAAAGACAATAATAAAAAATAATACATTTTTAAAAATACAATATAACAACTATTATATATAGCATGTACATTGTGTTAGGTATTGTAAGTGATGCAGACATGGTTTAAAGTGTATGTGAAGGTGTAGATATGTTATATGCAGATATATATATATATACCATTTTATATAAGGGACTTAATCCTGTGGATTAAAACTTCACATACCTTACAAGTCTATGCTTCTGCACATGGACTTCTCTCCTATTCCTTCACTGAATCTCAGTCTCCCCATATCTACCCTATACCTTGTAGCATGGGAAATAGTGGCACTCAGATGCAGTTGCCCTGCGCTCTGCTTCTAAGACACATTGTTCAGATCTCTTTAATAGCATTGTTCAGATCCCTTTAGTAGCATTGACCAAGTTGTATAATACATTGTTTCTGTAATTAATCCCTGCTAGAATAGTTATCCCATGATTTATTAATCCATTAAGTATTAAACTCACATTTAGCATGTCCATTAATATCTAACTTATGGGTTTTTGAGATGTGAACTAAATTTACCCCTCTCTCCTCTGAATTTAGAACTATTAAGGAGAAACAAGAGTCAGTTACATATCTAAATGTTAGCTCTAGTTCCAGTAGAGCTTATTTGGAGAACTCATCTTGGATCTGGACTTACCTGCTAGCTGATCATAGTATTGGTAATGGCATGTATCATCTCTTCCATGTGTCTCTCTCAACTAATAATTCTTCCTCAGAAAGCTAATCCTGATTCACCATGAAAGATAGGGACAAAATTAAAAGAAAACAGTTAATAAATGTTTCTAAAATCTTTACTACAGAAGGGCCAATCAACAAATGTATCCCTATTACATTGATAGGCATGCAGAAGATGAAACATCATGATGGTTGTAAAATATGTGGCTTTGTTTTAATTCTGAAATATTCCTGAAAGTGAATATCTTTTTAACATTAAAATAATGGCTGGTGATAAATAATATTATGAAAGTTTTTATATGTCAATGACTGCTTTTACTTGAGCTATTAAAACTATAGCCTTTGATGAAATACTTTTTTTGGTGTTTTGGGGGTTTTTTTTGATGATGAAATGTTTTTTGGCCAGGTGCGGTGGCTCACACGTGTAATCCCAGCACTTTGGGAGGCTGAGGCAGGCAGATCACCTGAGGTTGGGAGTTTGAGACCAGCCTGGCCAACATGGCGAAACCCTGTCTCTACTAAAAATACAAAAAAAATTAGCCGGGCTTGGTGGTGGGCACCTGCAATCCCAGCTACTGGGGAGGCTGAGGCAGGAGAATCGCTTGAACCTGGGAGGCAGAGGTCGCTGTGAGCAGAGATCACGCCATTACACTCCAGCCTGGGCAACAAGAGCGAAACTCCATCTCAAAAAATATATATATATATATATTTTTTTAATCCCAACTTGCAGTAAAATGTCATTGCATTTCAAGTTTTTTACCCAGAAGATGTTAACCTGTTAGTTAAAATTCCTTTTGGGAAGTAGTGTGACAATAGCAGAATTTAAAAGTAAATTATTTTCACATAATTTTTTTACATTTAAAAAAAGTAAGGCCATCAATACATGCTTAGAGCTGCACAGTTTTTAATAGAGTAACCTACATAAGTACATAATTTTATTGTTGCAAATTAAAATAAAGTTGTTCTGATAAAATAATATTTGTCCTAATTTAAAAATCATTTATCAAGAACAGAATTGATGACTTTGATATGTTATCATTATTTGTTATATTACATAGCATATTTCATGCAAAAAGCCTTTGAGTCCTTCAGAATAATACATGTATTATTATACTTTTTAACAAGAAAACCTAACATGATATGATGCAATCCCTTATACATTTCAAAAATAAATGGAGCAAATTCAAGCAAGGATATACTTTAAGAAATATGTTTCTACTTACAAATGGGCTGTTTAAGATTACATATTAGCCCTTTCTAATGTTTTTATCCTCCCTAATTTGTTATAACCTCCTTTATTTTCACTTCTGCCATCTTTTTTAAAGGAAAAATAAAGTTATTTCACATTATACACTTTAATATTTTCCAGTTGAAAATGAAGATGAGGCTGAAAGGGTTCTTTTTTCCTACGGCTATGGTGCTAATGTTCCCACAACAGCCAAAAGACGACTAAAGCAAAGGTAAAATCAATATATATTTATTTTATTTATCTACTCAAGATGAATGTAATTACATTTGTGCTTTCTGATAATGTGCTGAGTTCAGTGACAAAGTCCTTTATTCTTACTCTGCATAAATATTAAATTTCTCACAAAATAAAACACTAATAATCATGTATTTCATATATATTTAAATAAATTTAGTGGTTTGTAGAAGTGTGCATAAGAATTTATGTAGAATTAGATTCGATGATAAGGACCTTGTTTTTATTTTCACATTAATTTCAGATGAGCTACAAATGCTTTGTATCAAGAATATTCAGATTAAAATTCATTGTGCTTTTTTTTTTTCTTTCTCTCATTTTTATTCAACTGCCTACATTCCTTCACATACATGTTAGGGAGAGTGATTTGGAATTAATGCATATATTGTAATTGAAACTATGAAAGGCTTTACAAAACCAAGAGAATATTTAGAAGACCCACTAGTTATCTTGTGAGATAATGTTTAAAAGTACAGTCAGCCCTCTATATCCATGGGTTTCACATGTGTGAATTCAACCAACCGCTTATCAAAAATATTCGCGAAAAGAATGGATGATTGCATCTATGCTGAGTATGTGCCGACTTTTTTTCTTGTCATTATTCCTTAATACAGTTATTCACATAGCATTTACATTTTGTTAGGTATTATAAGTAATCTAGAGATGATTTAAAGTATATGGGAGGATATGCGTAGGTTGTATGCAAATATTATACCAATTGTATGTAAGGGACTTGAGCACTCATGGATTTTGGTATCCACAGGAGGTGGAGAATGTACACTGGAACCATGCATCCCGTGGATACCAACAGACAACTGTATGCTAACAGAAAATTATACCTACATTAATCAGGTTTCCAGTTGACCTGCCTGATTTTTATTCCTAACTCCTCTCTTGCACGAAAATTTATCCTGCTTTGCAAAAACATCTCACGGCCCCATTCACTACCACATCAAATCCATCAAATCTAAATGTTTCTTTCAGACTTCCACGCGCCTCTATAATGTAGCTCTATCTCTCCAGCCTTATTTGCCTCTCTACCCAAAGTGCAGTGGATATACCTATTTCTCTGCCTATAAAGCAACTGTTTTCTCTGTACCACACAGCAGAGCATTTCTCTTATCTCATTAGCTATCATTTCCTGTGTAATTTACCCATCTAGATGGAAAGTTCTTCGAGGTCAGCAACTACCTATTTTTTTTTTTTTTTTTTTTTGAGATGGAGTCTCATTCTGTCACCCAGGCCTGGAGTGCAATGGCACAGTCTCAGCTCACTGCAACCTCCACCTTCCAGGTTCAAGCAGTTCTCCTGCCTCAGTCTCCCAAGTAGCTGGGACTACAGGCGTGCACCACCACACCCTGCTAATTTTTGTATTTTTAGTAGAGATGGGGTTTCACCATGTTGGTCAGGCTGGTCTTGAACTCCTGGCCTTGGCCTCAAGTGATCCACCTGCCTCGGCCTTCCAAAGTGCTGGAAACACAGGAGAGATCCACCATGCCCAGTCTAGCAACTACATCTTTTTTTTTTTTTTTTGAGACAGAGACTCACTGTGTCACCCAGGCTAGAGGCAGTGGCACGATCTCAGCTCACTGCAACCTCCACCTCCCAGGTTCAAGCAATTCTCCTGTCTCAGCCTCCCGAGTAGCTGGGATTACAGGCATGTGCCACCATGCCTGGCTAATTTTTGTATTTTTAATAGCGACAGGGTTTCACTGTATTGGCCAGGCTGGTCTCAAACTCCTGACCTCAAGTGATCCACCCACCTCGGCCTCCCAAAGTGCTGGGATTACAGGCATGAGCTACCACGCCGTGCCAACTACATCTTATTCTTGTTTATTTTTCACTTTCTCTATCTAACTCAGTGCAGGATACCTAGTAAAATTGTTTCTTCATCAGAGCGTTTGAGAATTCAGAGTTGCTTTTTTTTATGTGAACTGATTTAGACATTTAGAGACATTGTACACTAAGAAAATGACTCAGAAAATAGAACATCTATATGGCTATCTAAAATGATGTATCCTCATTAATATAGTGGTGAATAAAAAAATAAAGTGATGTAGAATATAGAGCACTTTATAGAAAGCAAGAAAAGGATAGTTAGAACTTATGGCTCTTACCAGTTAAACTAAATATATGCCAAATTTTGATCAAGGCGAGCTGAATAGAAAGTATATATTTGTAGCTGGAATGTTTAATTCTGTCTGGTGAGGATTCAGATATTTCAGAATTATGTATTTTTAAAAAATCAGTCCCATTCCCATTTCCTCTAAAAGTCACAATGGGTAACCTAGGATATTTTGTAATTTTCAGCATATCTGTTTCTTAGTCCAATGTTGCCTAAGGAAGAATAGAACATAGTTTTGTGGGTAAGAGACTTATCAGTAGTAAATGATAGGTAAAATACTAAAACTTGAAATTTAAAGGGAAAGGTCATATTCTTTTCTCTATTTTGGCCTCTGAATCCTTCAAAAGAATCTTTGTTACAAGAAAAAATAGGGCTGGGTGCAGTGACTCACACCTGTATTCCCAACACTTTGAGAGGCCAATGCAGGCAAATTGCTTGAGTCCAGGAGTTTGAGAACAGCCTGGGCAACATGGCAAAACCCCATCTCTACAAAAAATACAAAAACTTAGCTGGGCATGGGGACATCTGCCTGTAGTCCCAGCTACCCTGCTCAGGAGGCTGAGGTGGGAGGATTACCTGAGCTCAAGAGGTCGAGGCAGCAGTGAACCGTGATTGTCCACTTACTCTTCAGCCTGGGTGACAGAGTAAGACTCTGTCTCCAAAAAAAGAAAAACAGAAAAGAAAGAATTCTGCTGTTAGAACTTTGCTTTTCTTAGCCCCAAATGCTGAGTTCTTCAGAATCACAAACAATTATTGCTGTTGCACATTACTATTTTTTTAAGAATTTTTAAAAATAGAGGTTGGTTTTTAATATTTAAAGTGAGGATTTAAGGAACCACAACTGATTCATACTCGAAATAATGTTAACTGTCCAAATATTCTAAAGATTCTATCACTGAGCTATCTATGTGCCTTGAACATGTGCCTAATGGGCATGCTATTAATATCTCCTGCCAGCTGGTGCCAGGCATTCTTCTCATGGTGAGCCAGAGGGTTATTTTGAGGAAGTGCTTCTCAGGTCATCTAAGCTGAATGACGGGAAAGTAAGGCTAGATATCCAAAGAGAACATTTATGCATTCCTTCATGCATTCAACAACTTTTATTGAGTGCTTACTGTATGCACAAAATTGATCAATGGCACTAAAGATCCCAGGTTAGGGTCTGATACATTTCTGAAGTTTGCAAAGTCCACATTTGAGTTCATAATGGATATTTGTAAAGAAAGCGGTGGCTTTGCGCTCTTTTTATGTTTATTTAAGATAAAAGCAGTATAACCTTTGAGAGAATTATATGTAATCCTTCACATTTGAAATTAAAGGATTGGAGCCAGACGCACTGGCATGTACCTGTAATCCCAGCTTCTGGGGAGCCTGAGGCAGAAGGATCACTTGAGACCAGCAGTTTGAAGCTGTAGTACACTATAATTGCACCTGTGACTAGTCACTGCACTCCAGTCTGGGCAACATAGAGAGACTCCCATCTCTCAAAAAAAGAAAAGAAAAAAAAAATCAGTGGAAACTTAAGGCGAATGATAAAACAACTCAGTCAAAACAGTAAATGAACTATATGCAAAATAAAGTTTTCATTGTACATCAGCCTATACCAAAATATATTAAAGTTTCAAAGGAACCTATTTTCCAACTACTACACAATAGATTCCATTCATATTAAATTTGATTTAAAATCTTATATGTTCAACAACCAGAATTAGATATTTTAGGGTAGCATTTAATTGGAAGGAGATTTCTGATTTGTTATAACAGTAATGTTTATTTTATTTTATTTTTATTTTTATTTTTTGGAGTTGGAGTCTCACTCACTCTGTCACCCAGGCTGGAGTGCAGTGGCATGATCTCGGCTCACTATAACCTCTGCCTCTCAGGTTCAAGCAATTCTCCTGCCTCAGCCTCCCAAGTAGCTGGGACTACAGGTGCATGCCACCACGCCTGGCTAATTGTTTGTATTTTAGTAGAGACAGGGTTTCACCATATTGTCCAGGCTGGTCTCGAGTGATCTCAAACTCCTAAGCTCAGGCAATCTGCCCACCACGGCCTCCCAAACTACAAGGATTACAGGCATGAGCCACCACACCAAGCCATGTTTATTTCATAAAATTGGAAAATTACTGGTAATCCTACCATCCAAAATAACCACTCGGAAATGTATACAGATATATATATATACTTTCTTATTTAAGATATTATTGCTTGTAATTTAATAGTTTAATTTATTGTCATAGAATTCCATTGTAAACATTTTCTTATGTCATTGGATATTCTTCAGAAAGGTCATTTTTAATGGTTATCCAAAACGTTAATTTTTAGTACTTCCATTTTTGAGTGCTATATTTTCATTACTTAATTGTATAGTTACTGAAAAATATCATTAGTTGCCTATTGCAACCCAGGCAATACCACAAAATTAAAATGAGAAAATGGATGTGAAGTTCCTGACATAGAGTAGATCTTTAGTAAGTGCTAGGTCGTTACACCTTGATGTGTTTGTTCTTAAAGTAAATTACATAGTTAATTTTAGAGGAAAAGCCAGGGTTCTGAAATCTTTTACTAGGCACAATTTGAGTTTTCATTTAAGACGATATTGTTTTAAAATTATACAGAAGCCTCTTGAAATAATTAGCAGGGATACCCCCCAAACATGAAACTTTCTTTAGTATCAGTCCATTTTTAAGAGTCTCACTCTGTTACTCAGGTCGGAATGCAGTGGCACCATCATAGTTCACTCTCATCTCAAACTCCTGGGCTGAAGTGATCCTCCTTTCTATCTTCCTGAGTAGCTAGGCATGCACGCTGTACCTGGCTAATTTTTTTATTTTTTATTTTTTTGTAGAGACAGGGTCTTGCTGTGTTGCCCAGGCTGGTCTGGAGCTCCTGGCCTCAAGCAATCATCCCACCTCAGCCTCCCAAAGTCCTGGAATTATAGGCATGAGTCACCACACCCAGCCTATTTTTTAAAACTCTTTCTGGGACACAATTATAGAAAGTTACAAGGGCTTATACAATTAAAGTAGATTAAAATAAAATGGGCTCTCCTTGACTAAACTTGAAAATCTGAAGTAATGTTTTCCTTTCAGTTGTGATTGTTTTGAAAATAGCAAACATGATTTTCTAGTTACATGTTTTGGTTAAGCCCTTTAACCTGCCACACTAAATGGTGACACCCAGGCACTAACATGGTCTTTGTATATGCCTCTGTGTTTGTTTTGGCTAATCTGAATGTGGAGACTGTTCTGACGTTCTTAAACCTTTCAAATTGTGAGATTACTGCGTACTATAGTTTCTCTCGTTTTATAAAAAGCTTTAAGTTAAAACTTTCAGTTTACTGAACTTCATAATAAAAAAAAATAAAGCAGAGGAAACTAGCAAAATTTTGTGTATGACAAACATGTTTTCCTTTCCTTTATTCTCATATATATGAGTTCTCATTTTTGTCCTTGGGGAAACTTGTACTCATTTCATTTGGGATGGCTTTAGGAATAGTTCTTTAAAAAGTTGCTGCTTTTCTATTCATGATAAATTTGGAAGTGTAAGCCTATAGAAGAAACTAGCGACAGTCTCATGTAACTACAGATAATCAGCATGAGATCACTGTTTAGTCCTTAGTCATTTCCAGCTGAGTAGATAGTATAAGGACCAGCCTTAAGCTTTTTGAAAGTGGGATCCTTCTGGCACATGTCCCCTTCTTTGCAACCATCTTTGATGCCATGCTAGTAGAGACAGGACTCTGATCTACTGAAAACTGAGAAAGATCAAATAACTAATATAGCTAATAAGCATGCCTCACATATTCTTGCTCATTTCGAGTTTTGGTAATAGTAAGACACCGTACCAATACTGAAGAACCCAGAACAGAGCGTCAATCCTCCATTGTGCTTTGATATCTCAGATATAAACAAAACTCTGTCATGTCCACATTTGCTAGGCTAAAAATGTTAGGAAATTGTATGTAGTAATCAGAAATACAGACTGCCATGGACAGAGCCAAAACCAATAACCTGTATTTGGCATCAAGAAGTGCTAAGAGAGCTAAAAGATAACCCTTGGAGGAATACTAATTTGACCAAGTAACAGGTGAAATTTTGGTTTAATATTTAGGTGTACAACCAATATACTGGTGGTGGTAGTTTCTAGCTGATATCAAACTTAATCTTGGTATAAGTGAAAATCATTTAAGCAATTAATGTATTAATTACAAAGAAGTATTGTATCTATTTAAGTGTCCCAATAGATAGCTTATAAAAAGCATTGCTTTCTTGAGAAATTCAGTACATTCTACACCAAAAATAACATTTAGCAAGAGTCATTTTTCCTGACCATGTTTATAGTTATTCTTCTTGAAGATCTTAGCAGGGCCAGGCACGGTGGCTCACGCCTATAATCCCAGCACTTTGGGATGCTGAGGCAGGTGAATCACCTGAGGTCAGGAGTTCGAGACTAGCCTGGCCAACATGGCAAAACCCCACCTCTACTAAAAAGACAAAAATTAGTTGGCATAGTGGTGGGCGCCTGTAATCCCAGCTGTTCCAGAGACTGAGGCAGGAGAATTGCTTGAACCTGGGAGGCAGAGGTTGCAGTCAGCCCAGGTCACGCCATTGCACTCCAGCTTGGGCGACAAGAGCGAAACTCTAACTCAAAAAAAAATTTTTTTAAATAAAGATCTTAGGACTTGTTTTCATTGTATGTTTATTGTGTTAAGGAGGCATAAACTCAGCTGTAGTTGAGCAGTTCTTCATTTGTCTTGTTTTGAATTTCATTTAAACACTCTTCTTTCTTCCCACTTGTAAGATCCCAGACTTCTAAAGAGGATCCACCTATAGCACCAAATCACTCACCAAAGCAATATGCCCACTTAAAGTTTTAGGAGGTTGAATATAGAAGTGGTGAATTGGTATCTAAGACATTTGCCTTCTTCTTTGTGCACTTTTTAATTGCTAGTTCAATGCTTAATACTGAGCATTAGTTGTACTTTATTTTTTTTCTTTAATTGCCCATTATTGGCAATAGGTGTACCTTAATGTTGAGGTGCTGCAACTTCGGAGTATGGTTTCTAACAGTGTGTTCATTTGAACAAAATGCACTTACAACAAGATCAGTCCAGAGGTACTTATCGCTATGCACATGTCTCACGCCTATAATCCCAGCACTGTAGGAGGCTGAGGTGGAAGGATCACCTGAGCCCAGGAGTTTGAGACTAGCCTGGGTAACAATGTGAAACACAGCCTCTACAAAAATTTTAAAAATGAGCCAATCACCCTAATGCACCTGTGGTCCCAGCTATGTGGGAGGATGAGCTGGGTCACTTGAGCGCAGGAGGTCAAGACTGCAGTAGCCATGTTTGCACCATTGCACTTCCTGGCCTGGGCAATAGAGTGAGACCCTGCCAGAAAAAAAAAAAAGAAGATTTATTAAGTACCTACTCTGATAAGCTCTACAGTTAGATACCACAGGGGATAAGACTCCTGTCATTTTATGAGTTGCATCTGTTTAGGGAGAAATGATTAACATACATGAAAGAATATATAAACTTTAGTACTATATCATATGTTGGGTTAGGCTATGTCAGTCAGAGGAATAGAGATCTGTGAAGGCTGGCACAGTCAAAAATGGAGGAAGTGGAACTCGACGGGAGCCTTTAAAGAAAATCTTCAGACTGGAGGACCAAGAAAAGGCAGTGGAAGGAATACAGAAAACATATTTGTGAGACGTTAAGTAGAGTAGACATGAAGGGCAAATAAGGTTAGTTCCAGTGAGATTATAGAGGGTCTTGATATTTTTAAATAATTTAGAGATAGAGTAAAACTAACCATGAAGGTCAGATTTGAAAGTGAGTGGGAACAGGATATAGACATCAGTTCACTATGTAAGAAATACAGATGTCTGACAAACATGAAACAATGCTTAATCTCACAAATAAATTTAATTTAAAACAGGATTTTATGTTTATCTATAAGGTTAGCAAAACTTCCAAAGATTGACAATGCTCAGTATTGGTTGGGTTATGAAGAAACAGGAGATATGAATGAACAGGAATTCATTCATTCAATAGATAATTTCTAAGTACCTCCTTTGTACCAGGTATTTATTGTTGAACTGTAACAGGTTTTTATATTTTCTGGATTCAAGTCTCTTAACTGATATGTGATAAGAAATTTTTTCTTCCATTCTGCAGATTGTCTTTTCACTGTTTTTTTCCTTTTTTCTTTCTCTCTCTTTTTTTTTTTTTTTTTTTTTGAGACGGAGTCTCTGTTGCCCAGGCTGGAGTGCAGTGGTGGAATCTCAGCTCACTGCAAGCTCCGCCTCCCGGGTTCAAGTGATTCTCCTGCCTCAGCCTCCTAAGTAGCTGGGATTACAGGCGCCTGCCACCACACCCAGCTAATTTTTGTATTTTTAGGAGAGACGGGGTTTCACCATGTTGGCCAGGCTGGTCTCGAACTCCTGACCTCAAGTGATCTGCCCACCTCAGCCTCCCAAAGTGCTGGGATTATAGGCATGAGCCACCGCACCCGGCCCTGTTTTTCTTTTTCATGACAAAACTGAAATGGTTAAAATCTTTTTACTTTCTTAATGGTGCATTTTGAAGCCCAGAATTTTAAAATTTTGATGCAGTCCAGTTTATCCAATTTTTTTTGTTACTTATGCTTTTGCTGCCCTGAGAATCTTTTGCTAAATCTAATTTTGTGAGGATTTACTCATATGTTTTCTTCTAAAAGTTTATAGTTTTAGCTTCTGTATTTAGGTCTTTGATCCATTCTAATTAATTTTTTGGTATCATATGAGGTAAGGGCTTTGTACTGTTTATTAATGTGGCTACTAGAAAATTTTAAATTGCATATGTGGCTTGCATTATATTTCCATTGGACAAAGCTGACCTAGACCAGTGGTCTCCAAACTTTTTGATACGAATTTTTATTGGGAAAAAATTTGAGTACACACTCAGCAATATATGCATATGTATTCATATTTATTTATAGATTATGTACGCATGTGCTATCATATGAATAGTATGCACATAATGATATAAAACCTACACAGCAAATGAAAACTTAAGATAATTTAACATTAAAATAAATGTAAGTAAAAGTTCCCACAGTTCAAGAAATAATTTTGCACATAACTACTTTTAAAGACCACTGGTCTAGATTATGATCATAACCTTCTAAATGACTGTAGTCTTCTTCCTTCTGCAGGCCATCCTGCACACTACTGATAGAGCACTCTTTCTAAAGTGCGGGCCAGATCGTGTTATGTCTAACCAACTTCAGGATAAAATCCAAACATACAAGGCTTTTCATAAAATATCTCTGCCTATATCTCTCTAGCTTCAACCCTCACCATGCACCATATATTATTGATCTATACTCTACTACTTAGAATTTTCCCTAGCACTTCATCCTCTACATAGGCATTTCCCTCTACCTAAAATGCTGTTTCTCTGCTTCTTCACCAGATTAGTTAGTATAGTTTTTATTCCTTAGTGGTATGCCTTTTCTTAGCATTTAGCATACTACAGTAATTTTTAAATTTGCCTGTCTTCCTCAGTAGACTATTAGATCTTCCCAGTAGATATTATGTATTCTCAGTGCCTATGCAGATTATAGGTTTTTAATACATGTTTCTTCAAAGGAAGTGTTCATGAATATTTTTCGAATGAATTAATGAGTGTGTTTCTTCTAATTCACCCTGCTTTTCTGCAGTCATTGATATTCATCACCAAGAAAAAATAGTAATTTCCTTTTTTTTTTTTTTTGAAACAGAGTCTCACTCAGTTGCCTAGGCTGTAGTGCAGTGGCACGATCTTGGCTCACTGCTTACTGCAACCTCTGCCTCCCGGGTTCAATAGATTGTTGTGCCTCAGCGTTCCAAGTAGCTGGGATTAAAGATGTGTGCCACTGTCCGGGCGTGGTGGCTCACGCCTGTAATCCCAGCACTATGGGAGGCCGAGGTGGGCGGATCACGAGGTCAGGAGATCGAGACCATCTGGCTAACATGGTGAAACCCTGTCTCTACTAAAAGTACAAAAAATTAGCCGGGCCTAGTGGCGGGCACCTGTGGTCCCAGCTACTGAGGAGGCTGAGACAGGAGAATGGCGCGAACCCGGGAGGCGGAACTTGCAGTGAGCCGAGATCGCGTCACTGCACTCCAGCCTGGTGACAGAGCAAGACTCCAACTCAAAAATAAAAATTAAAATAAAAAAAAGATGTGTGCCACCACACCCAGATAATTTTCGTGTTTTTAGTAGAGGTGGGGTTTTGCCATGTTGGCCAGGCTGGTCTCAAACTCCTGGCCTCAAGTGATCTGCCTGCCTTGGCCTAATTTTTTTTTACTGTTTTTGTTTTACTGTAAGTATTATAATGATGAAAAACAGTTATATTTCTTGTTTCTGCTGTGTTCTTTTGCTTAAATATATCTTTATATTTCTTTTCATTAAATCTTAATATAATCTCTTATATCCTTAATAATACAATCTTAATAAATCTGAGTATAATCTTTTAATGAAAGATTTTATATTATCTTTTGTTCTTTTCTGTGTATGTGTGTTTGTACTACATTAGTGGGCTAAATGGGTCTTTTAGGGCAACTGAGAACTTTAATACCATTTCTAATATATGTGTGTATATATATATATACACATATATATATATATACATATATATATACACACACATATATATACATATATATACATATATATACATATATATATATATATATACATATATATATGAGGAAATGTGTTTTACTGTTCTTACAACTGACTTAGAGGTGAGTTTTTAAAATGTGAACCCCATATATACTGGAGACCAATTGTACCATGTTGTCTTCTACATTATTATCATTATGCATCATAAATGACATCAACAGTCATACTAATACTCACGGTCCTTCCCGTCACCATCAATTCTCAGAAAGTTTTTCTCAGTAAAATTGTACTATAAACTAGTAATCAAAGCACTGTAGAGTATATTTGTAAGCAATTTGAAGATACCTTAGATACTTTCCTTCTATTTAGAGTTGATTTTCCTTACTTGGAATCTCCCAGTCAAAATCAGGGAAATTCCTTTTTGAAGAAAGTAGTCCTGGTGTTAAGGCTTAAGCACTAGCATACCAAGAATTTCTTTTTTTTGAGATGAAGTCTTGCTCTTGTCCCCCAGGCTGGAGTGTGATGGCACCATCTCAGCTCATTGCAACCTCCGCCTCCCAGGTTCAAGCGATTCTCCTGCCTCAGCCTCCTCAGTTGCTGGGATTACAGGCGCCTGCCACCACGCCCAGCTAATTTTTGTATTTTTAGTAGAGACAGGGTTTCACCATGTTGGCCAGGCTGGTCTTGAACTCCTGACCTCAGGTGATCTGCCTGCCTCAGTCTCCCAAAGTGCTGGGATTATAGGCGTGAGCCACCTCACCCGGCAAGAATTTCTTGAGTCAGTGTTTTATGACTTATGATATTTTTATTGGTAAGCGGTATCACCCTATCTGTATAAGAACATTATAGAATTCCCAAACAAAATAAAAGCACTCAAACCAAATGAACAATTTAACATTATTAAACTTGATGTCTTCAAGTCATTATCTTGTTCAGATTGTTGGTAATATGTGACCTCTGCATCTCATTTTCTTGCATGTCTTTGTCTTCCATTTCATTCATTTGTAACTCTAGTTCTGTGTAATTGCATTTGATTGTGTTTATTGTTCTATACTGAGTATACACATACTTGTTCTACACCTTCAACATATTTATTGAAAAATTACCATGTTTAAGTGACCCTAGTGTGAAGTTCTGTGGGACACAAAAAGATAAAAAAAAGTTAACACCTAACATGTATGAAGAGTAAGAAAGCAAGAATAAAAATGTGAATAAAGATAGCTCCAAGATTTTTTAATTAACCTAATAAAAATAGAGCTAATGATAAACTGATGCTTGCAAACGTATAATGGAATCAACGGATTTTAAATGCAAAATTCACATTAAGGCTTATTTTATTTGTAGAAATCTTGTTATTTTAGGGTCAAATTAGAGAGAACTTAGTATATTTTTATTGGGAAATGAAGAACAATATAGTCATAAACTGTAAACTCCTTAAAAATTTATAAAGAGAGAAAGATTAATGGTTCCCTAAGGTTGAATTTGAGGAGCAAAGGAGGAAGTTGGAATGTGGGGAGGATGGAGAGTGACTGGTAATGGACACAGAAATTCTTCTTGAGATAATGAAAATGCTCTAAAATTAGATTATAGTGATAGTGGCACAACTCTAAATATACTAAAAATCATTGAATTGTACACTTTAAATTGGTGGACTTTATGATATTTAAGTTGCATATCAGTAAAATTGTATGTCAGTAAAGTTTAAAAAAAAAGTGGTTGTCAAAAAATGAGGACTGTATGCTTTTTCCATCTCTAATGCCAGTTGAAAGAATTTTAGATCTAAACAAGCAACTCAAATCACTTTATAAACTTTTGCCAGAACTCATCTTTTTTATTTGGTATGAGTTCTTAGAAATAGATATATAGAATGATATTTAACACTATTTATTATTATTATTATTTTTAGAGACAGGGTCTCTGTGTCACCCCAGGCTGGATTGCAGTGGCACAATCCTAGCTCACTGTAACCTCGAACTCCTGGGCTCACGTGATCCCCCCATCTCAGCCTCCCAAGTAGCTGGAACCACAGGCATGCACCATCATGCCCAGCTAATTTTTGTATTTTTTGCAGAGGCAGGGTCTCACCCTGTTGCCCATACTGGTCTTGAATTCCTGGCCTCAAGTGATCCTCCTGCCTCAGCCTCCCAGAGTGCTGGGGTTGCAGGCATGAGCCACCGCGCCTGGCCTTAACATTATTTTTTAGAATGTTGTCTGCATTTCTTTATCTGATATTGGGAAATATTAAAATACAATAGAATTTTTTCTGCCCTATGATTTTATTTAAAGCACAGTTATCTTACTTTTTGTCATTATAAAACATTCCATCTAGGATTCCATGGATTCTGCAATTCACAGATTAATAGGTTAACTAGTATAAAATATGAAAATATGATAAATATGAAAATGTTAAGTTACTGGAAATGCAGAGAGGTTCTTTGGAGCAATATGTCTTCTCAAAATTATTAGCAGTTCTTTAAAGAAATATACCACTTCCTCCCACCATAGTTAGAAGGAATAGATTTTATTCTTAAAATTGTTTCTTAAAAGTAGAATTGAGATGTTTCATATGTAATTTTAAATACTAAAGGTCAGTGCAATAAGTTATGGTAATGCAGAGCATCAGAGGGAGTGATTTTTTTCTTTTAGTACAGAAGCTTAGCCTTTACTATAGACATTCTCTAAGTTTTATATATCTTTTTCATCTCCACTTTCAATTAAAAACCTCATTTTTGTTTTATATTATAACATGCATTATGTTGTTTAAAGTAAACTCTGATACTTCTCAAAGTGATAAGCTAATTATTGTTTGTAATATTTCAACTAATTTTCTGATTTGTAATTGGAAAATATTTATAAAAGTGGAGACAAGCTGTAAATTGCTGTATTGTGGTCTTTTCAAGCAAGTGTTATAATGTTACCTCTCCACTTTTATAGCAAGGGCTAAAAACCGTTACTGCAGTAATCAGTCTATCACGGTTATGTTTTAATGTTGTTACTCTCATAATTCTGAGTTGTGGGGTATTGGTCTTCCACTACTGGTGCCTGAAAATATTATTTGACTCTATATTTTTTCTGTTAATATTTAAGTATAATTAGGAAATGATGTCTATTTTCAAGTACACAAACACATTTTGAATATTTTGGGCAGTATTTCACTTTTAAGCATTAATTTTCTTATTTCATTTGCCTAGTGTTCACTTGGCAAGAAGAGTGCTTCAATTAGAAAAACAAAACTCGCTGATTTTAAAAGATCTGGAACATCGAAAGGACCAAGTAACACAGCTTTCACAAGAGGTAAATAACTTAAAGAAACCCATATGAAGAATCACAGTATTCATTTTAATTGTTTGTAACTCTTTTATTTTTCTAAGCAGTTTTAAAATAAGCTGTTTGCTAGTACAAAATGATTTCACAATTTATGAAACTAACTGAATGTTAAGGCCATAAAAAACAACTTACAGTGTATGGCAAAACTGAGAACAAAAGGGAGATTAAATGCCCAGACTAAGTATAAATGCAGACTAGACAGACAGAGCTTTGATTTCTGAGAATATCAACTGGTAAAACAGGTTTGGCAAACTTTGGTGACATTTTAAGTTTTTTACTAATCATTTTTAAGATAGATTTGGTTTTTACCTCTGTGTTTAATGAGAAATCACTCCTCTGTTAAATTTAACTTTGTTTACACTTAGAAAATCAGGCTCATATTGCTTCTTTTTCTTAGCCTTATGTCATTTAAACTACGTATATATATATATATATATATATATGTATGCATTTTACATAGCATTTTTAATCATCTTCTGATGTCAAGATCTAATTTTATTTTTCTGTACTTTTGAAATGCGAGTCATAAAACAATTTAAACCGGAGGTACTACTTTGCTAATGTTCCTTTTATTTATTTATTTAATATTCCTGAGTGTCAACATAAGAAGTTTTTCCGTTTTTTTCTTTGTTTCTTTCTTTTTTTTTTTTTTTTTTTCTGAGACAGGGTCTGGCTTTATCGCCCAGACTGGAGTGCAGTGGCATGATCACAGTTCATTGCAACCTCTGCCTCCCAGGGTCAAGGACTCCTCCCTCCTCAGCCTCCCAAGTAGCTGGAACTGTAGCTACGCACTACTGTGCCTGGCTAATTTTTGTATTTTTTTGGTAGAGACAGGGTTTCACCATGTTGCCCAGGCTAGTCTAGAACTTCTGGGCTCAAGCGATCCACCTGCCTAGGGCCTCTGAAAGTACTGGGATTGGAGATGTGCCACTGCACCCAGCCAAGAAGTTAATATTTTAAAAGTTTTAAAAACTATTTCTCTTATAACAAAGGGTTTTTTCAAGTCATACATTAAATAACATTAATATATGTTGTTTATTATTTGTTTTCTTAAGGATCTGTTTATATTCTTTAGAGTGTCTTTTCATACTATAACATTAGGAGGATCTTTATCCTCAAATTTCGAAAGACCAGAAATACTTCATTTTATTGCAGTTCCTGACACATAGTTAATGCTTGGGGTTGACACAGTGGTGTGTTGGTAAATGTTAACAGCCAGCTTTCCAAGAGGGATATGAGGGAGAGCTTGATTTGTAACATTGGCTTGTATCTCTTTTATAAATACTCCCACCATGGCTGACTTCAAACTACCAACCTAAGGTTACTGAAGATGGAGTAAAGATTGTCAGCAGCATACCAGTACTTAATGTTTGCACCATACAGATACAACAGACATAGGTAAACTCAAGAGCACAGATAATAGTAAAATAATTTTAAATTGACAAATTTGATTGTTTTTACCTTTGTTTTTAATAAAATGTATTTTACTATAAATTTAAATAATTTAGTTTAGTTTTTAATGCTAGTTGTGTTTGATAGCCAGCCCACAAAATTCCTAAAAATTTTCAGGATTCATTTGTACTTCATTCTTTTCATTGCTGAGTAATTTCTTTGTGTGGATGTACCAGTTTGTTTATCCATTTACTTGTTGATGGACATTGGAGTCATTTCCAGTTTTTGGAATAAAGCTCATATGAACATTCATGTACAAGTCTTTGTATGAAATAATAGAGAACTCCTACAAGCTGCTGCAAGCCAAGTCCAGCACACTGCTAGGTGGAAGCAGAAAAGATAATAAACAAACAAACAAACCTCTGTTTGCTAATATATTGTAGATCCCTCATGTTGCCTTTAATTTCACAGTAATTTTCAAAAATATTTTTTAAAAGTAAAATATTAAAATACATGCCTTCCTGAGCATTTCAGTTAATTGAAATAAGAATTTCTAAATGTGGGCTGGATGCAGTGGCTCATGCCTATTATCCCAGCACTTTCGGAGGCCAAGGCAGGAGAGTCACATGAGCTGAGGAGTTTGAGCCTTGGCTACAAAGCAAGATCCACCATCTCTAAAAATAAAGAAGCCGGGTGCACTGGCTCATGCCTGTAATCCCAGCACTTTGGGAAGCCAAGGCAGGGGGATCACTTGAGGTCAAGAGTTCAAGACCAGCCTGGCCAACATGGTGGAACCCTGTCTCTACTAAAAATACAAAAATTAGCTGGGCATGATGGCACATGCCTGTAATCCCAGCTACCTGGGAAGCTGAGGCACGAGAATCACTTGAGCCTGGGAGGCGGAGGTTGCAGTGAGCTGAGATCGTGCCATCGTACTCCAGCCTGGGCAACAGAGGGAAACTCTAGTCTCAAAAATAAAAAGAAAGAATTTCTAAATGTGAACACACGTCTATAAATTGTTGGGAGAAAATGTAAGAAATTAAGTGTTAAATGCTCCTATAATTAAGTATAATTAACTTTGTATGAAACCATTTTTAAATAAGCTATGGCTTATATTGAGAAAAAGACTTAAATGCTGAAATATTTATGATGTGAAATGGTATGGTGCCTGGAATTTGCTTTAAAATATTTCATGAGAAAAGGAGGAAGGGCTTAACAAATAAAACAAGAATCACAAAATGTTAATAATGTTTGAAGTTGGATGACGTTTACATATAGGTTTAGTAGTGAGTTCTGGACTTTTGTGTATGTTTGAAAAAATTTCATAAGACATTTGGAGAAAGAATCAGTAACCCTATATTAAAGGATCTATGCCAACTTCAGTATATAACTTTTCCCTTAAGATTGAAAATAAAATATTTAAAGTATTCTATGGACTTTACTTTTTTCTGCTTTACAAAAATTATATTGCTTACACTGAAAATAATTATATAAACTAGATGAATGATTAGTATTAGATTGCTGTTATAACAATAGACTATTCATAATAGATGGTGAAATAATACAGATGGAAATTATCTCAGGATCTTTATTCTTTATTTTATTTTATTATTTATTTATTTTTGAGACAGAGTCTCGCTCTCTCGCCCAGGCTAGAGTGCAGTGGTGCATTCTTGGCTCACTGCAACTCTGCCTCCCAGTTTCAAGTGATTCTCCTGCATCAGCCTCCCGAGTAGCTGGTATTACAGGTGCACGCCACCACGCTGGGCTAATTTTTTGTATTTTTAGTAGAGATAAGGTTTCACCATGTTGGCTAGGCTGGTTCAGGATCTCTATTCTTTGGATCAGGTTAAATATTTAAATCAGTTTGGCCTTTTTGATAATACACAGATGAAATACTGATAACTAATGTTAGAATTACCATTGAGTTAAACACTATTCAGATTATGTCTGAGATTGTACATAAGTGAACTGACAAAATGACAATGCTAAGTAATACCCAAAATAAAAACAAATACTCCCCTTTTTAGCAGCTTTATTGAAGTATAATTGATATACAGTAAATTGCACATATTTAAGGTATAGTGCAGTTTGACATTTGGCACATGAATATACCTATGAAACTATCACCAAAATGAAGGTAATAAACACATATATCTCCCCAAAAGTTTCCATATGCCCCTTTGGAATTCTTGCCTCCCAACCTTCCCCATCTCAGTCCCTAAGCAATTACTGATTTACTTTCAGTTACTGTAGGTTAGTTAGTTAGTTAGTTTGTTTGTCTGTCTGTTTGTTTGTTTGTTTGTTTATTGAGACAGAGCCTCACTCTGTTGCCCAGGCTGGAATGCAGTTGTGCAATCTTGGCTCACCACAACCTCTGCCTCCTGGGTTCAAGCAATTCTCCTGCCTCAGCCTCCCAAGTAGCTGGGACTACAGCCATGTGCCACCATTCCCGGATAATTTTTGTATTTTTAGTAGAGGCGGGGTTTCACTATGTTGGCCAGGCTGGTCTCGAACTCCTGACCTTGTGATCCACCTGTCTCAGCCTCTCAAAGTGCTGGGATTACAGGCGTGAGCAAGCCTAGCTTGTATTTCCTAGACTTTTATATAAGAGGAATCATATAGTATGTATATGCTTTTTTTAATGTCTCCTTTCACTCTGCATAATTATTTCAAGATTTATTTGTAGTTCATTTTTTTCATTACTGAGTAACATTTCGTTGTGTGGAAGTACCACAGTTTGTTTATCCATTCACTTGTTGATGGACATTGGAGTCATTTCCAGTTTTCTGAATAAAGCTCAGATGAACATTCACATACAAGTCTTTGTATGGACGTATGCTTTCATTTCTCTTGGGTAAATATCTAGGAGTAGACTGGCCGGATCATATCGTAGGTGTCTATTTGACATCTTAAGAAACTGCTAAACTGTTTCCCAGATGTTTGTACCATTTTACATTTCCACCAATAATGTATGAAAGTTCCAATTTTTCTACATCCTTGCCTTGATATGGTTAGTTTTTTTATCCACTATAATGGGTGTGTAGTGGCATATTAGTGTGGTTTTAATTTGCATTTCTCTAATGACGAATGATTTTGAGGATCTTCTCATTTGAGTTTCTTTGCCCTCTGTTTATCTTCTTGGGAGAAGTGTCTCCTCACATTTTTTGTCTGTTTTATCAGGTTGTTTGTCCTCTTATTCTTGAGTTTTGAGTATTATTTATATATCCTAAATACAAGTCATTTATCAGATATATGATTTACAAATATTTTTTCCCACCCTGTGGCTTATCTTTTCACCTCTTAATGATGTCTTTTTATTTATTTATTTATTTATTTATTATTTATTTTTAGAGACAGAGTCTCACTCTGTTGCCCAGGTTGGAGCGCAGTGGTGTAATCATAGCTCATTGCAGCCTCGAACTCTTGGACTCAAGAGCCTCAAACTATTGGGAGCCTTAGCCTCCCAAATACTAGGACTGCAGTTACCTGCAACCACACCTGGCTAATTTTTTTTATTTTTTTGTAGAGATGAGGTCTCACTATGTTGCTCAGGTTGTCTCGAACTCCTGGGCTCAAGTGATCTTCCCACCTTGGCTTCCCAAAGTGCTGGGATTGCAGGTGTGAGCCATCCCACCCAGCCAACAATGTCTTTTGAAGAGATGCTTTTATCAAGTACAGTTCATCACTTTGTTCTTTTATGGATTGTGCTTTGGTGTTGTATTTTAAATATCTTTGCCTAACCTAGGGTCATAAGGGGTTTTGTCTATTTTTAATTCTAGATGTTTCATAGTTTTAGGTCTGTGATTCATTTTTAGTTTAATTTTTATACTGAGTGGAAGATATAGATTGAAATTGATATGTTTGCATAATTGAAACACAACTGTTGTAGCATCATTTGTTGAGAAACAATCATTTATGTGTGAGACTGTTCTCGACTCTCTGTTCCAGTTATCTGTCTTTATGTCAATACCACACTATCTTGATTGCTGTAGCTTTATAATATCTGGAAATCAGATAGTATTGGTCCTCCAATGCTGTTCATTTTCAAAGTTGTTTAGCTGGGTGTTTTTTTTGCATTTCTATATGAATTCTATCATCAGTTTGTTAATTTTTTTTTCAAAAACTAGCTGTGATTTTGGTTGACATTACGTAAGTTGAATATATAGATGAAGCAGAGAAAATTGACATCTTAATATTGAATATTCTGACCCATGAACATACTGTATCTTTACCCTTATTTACGTCTTCTTTAATTTATCTTAATACTATTATTTTTTAGTTTTCACTGTATAACTAAAAACTGTCAACTGTTTGACATCTTTTATTGTCAAACTTTTACAGTGAAAACTACTAAAACATTAGCATTAGCAAAGTGTATGTTTTTCCAGCCTTCTTCTTTTAACCCGTCTGACAAAATATGATTTTCAATTGGAGATTTTTTTAGAACACTTAACATCTAGTATATTTATTGATATGGTTATGTTCAAGTTTTTCATCTTGCTAATGTTTTCTGTTTGGCCCATCTACTTTTTATTCACTTTATTTTTCTTGTCTTCTTTTGGATTAATTGAATTTTTTTATTTCATTTTATCTTATTGTTGCTTATTGGCTATAACTTTGTTATTTCAGTGGTTGATTTAGATTATAGTGTATATGTATCTTTAACTTATCACCATGTAGCTCCAAGTGATATTTAGTAAAACATATGGTATAAGAACCTTACAACAGTATTCTTCTATTTGTTCCCCCAGCCTTTGTGTTCTTGTTGTCGTACATTTTATTTATACACATATAAACTCCCATACTACATTACTGCTATTATTACTTAAACAGTGATAATCAGGCTGGGCACAGTGGCTCATGCCTGTAATCCTAGCACTTTGAGAGGCTGAGACAGGTGGATCACCTGAGGTCAGTAGTTTGAAACCAGCCTGGCCAACATGGCAAAACCCTGTCTCTACTAAAAATACAAAATTTAGTGTGGTAGCAGGCACCTGTAATCCCAGCTACTCGGGAGGCTGAGGCAGGAGAATAGCTTGAACCTAGGGGTTCGAGGTTGCAGTGAGCCGAGATCGCGCCACTTCACTCCAGCCTGGGCGAAAGAGTGAAACTCCATCTCAAAAAAAAATAAATGAAATGAAATAAACAGTGATAATCTTATAAAGAGATATAATAATATGAGGGAAATATGTTAAATTTAAATAGTTACCATACCTTGTGCTCTTTATTCCTTTTTGTAGGCCTAAATTTCAAACTGTTATCTATTCCTTCTGGTTGATGCACTTCCTTTAACAATTTTTATAGAGCAGGTCTATGGTGATGAATTCTGTTTCTGTATATAGCAAAAAGTTGCTATTTTGCCTATTTTTAGTTTTTTTGTTTTTACATTTCTGACTATTTTTGACAAAAGTCTAGGTTAAAATGCAATTCTCACAGATATGGAATAAGGCCAAATTAACTGAAAGTAGCCATTTAAGAGTTTACTTTTTTTATTGTGGTAAAATTCAGATAACAAAATTTACCATTTTAACCATTTTAAAGTATACGATTTAGTAGCTCATGGTATGTGTATGGTGTTTCATACACAGCACCACTATCTAGTAAAAGAGCATTTCCATCACCTGGGAAGGAAACCCTGTACCCATTAAGCAGTGACTCCCCATTCCCGCCTCCACCTCAGTCCCCCACAAGCAATAATGTGCTCTCTCTCTCTCTATGGATTTGCCTGTTCTGGATATGTTATATAAATGAAATCATGCAATATTTGGCCTTTTGTGTCTGGCTCCTTTCACTTAGCATAATGTTTTCAGGGTTCGTATTTTGCCATCTATCAGTGCTCAGTTCCTTTTTATGACTGAATAATATTCCATTTTGCAGATTAACTACATTTTGTTTATCCATCAGTTAATGGATTTTTGTCTGTTTTGAATAGTGCTGCTGTGAACATTTCATGTTCAAATTTTTTGTTTGAACACCTGTTTTCAATTCTCGTTAAGTGGAATTCAAGATGAAATGGTAATTCTATGATTCACTTTTCAAGAAACTGCAAAACTGTTTTTCGTAGTGACTATGCCATTTTACATTCCCACCAGCCATTTCAGGGGTTCCAATTTTTCCACATCCTCACCAATGCTTATTTTTCATTTTTTTAACTCTAGCCATCCTGGCAATTACAAAGTAGTATCTTCTAATGATTTTGCTTTGCATTTCTCTAATTAGGTTAATAATGTTAACTATCATTTTGGGTTCTTATTGGCCATTTATATATCTTCTTTAGAAAGATGTCTGTTCGAGTCATTTGCCCACTTTTGAATTGGGTTGTCTTTCTGTTGTTGAGTTGTAAGAGTTCTTTATATATTCTGGACACTAGACCTTTATCCAATACATGATTTGCGAATATTTTCTCCCATTCTGTGTGGGTTGTCTTTCCTCCACTTGTTAGTGTCCTTCAAGGCACAAAAGTCTTTAATTTTGATAAAATCTACTTTATCTTAGGTGTCTTGTGCTTCACCTTTGGTTTTGTGGGTTTTTTATTGAGGTGAAATTCACATGACATAAGATTAACCATTTTAAAGTAAACCGTTTAATATTCATTCACAGTGTTGTACAATCACTATCTCTATCTAGTCCTAAAACATGTTCATCACCCCAGAATAAAACCTTGTACCCATTAAGCACTTAATACCCACTCCTCTTTGCCCCCACCCTCTGACAACTGCCAAATCACTTTATTTCTGTGGATTTACTTCATCTGGATATGTTTCATATAAATGGAATCATACAATATGTGACGTTTTGTGTCTGGTTTCTTTCACTGAGCATACTGTTTTTGATGTTCATCCATATTGTAGCATGTATCCAGTACTTTAACCCTTTTTATGGCCGAATAATATTCTGTTGTGTATATTTACCTTAATTTGTTTATTCATTTATCCTTTGATGAACATTTAGGTTATTTCCACCTTCTGACTATTGTAAAAAGCGCTGCTATGAACACGCAAATACAAGCAAATGTATGAGTACCTGTTTTCATTTCTTTTAAGTGTATACCTGGGAATGGATTTGCTGGGTTCACCTTTGTTTTTTAGAAAGATATTTTCCCTGGGTAAGGAATTTGAGGTTGACTTTTCTCTCCCTCTCTCTCTTTTTCAGTAGTTGAAAGATACTGCTTCACTCCCTTCTAGTTTGCATCGTTTCTGCCAAGATATTGCCGTCATCCTTATCTTTGTTCCTCTCTAGGTAATGTGTATTTCTTTAGCTGCTTTTAAGAGATTTTTAGTCACTGGCTGTAAGCAATTTGATTATCATTTGGCTTTCTGGAGTTTTCTTCATGTTTCCTATGCTTGGGTTTTGTTGAACATCTTACATATGTGAGTTTATCAAATTTATAAATTTCTTAAATTTTTAAATACTTCAATCCTCTCACCTTCCTTTGAGGACTTCAATGAGATATATATTAGGTTGCTTAAAGTTATTCTACAACAGAACAAATGATGTTCTCTTCAGTTTTTTTCAGTCTTTTTTCTGCTTTTCTTTTGAATAGCTTCTTTTACTGTGTCTTCCAGTTCACTAATCTTTTTTTCACCACTGTATAATCTGCTTTCAGTTCAATCCAGTTTTTATCTCAGATATTGTAGTTTTCATTTCTAGAAGTTCAAATTGGATCTTCTTTGTGTCTTTTAGGTCTCTCCTTAACATTCTCAAACTTTATTTTCTGGAATATGTGAAATATAATTTCAATAACTTTTTTATATTCTTGCCTACTAATTCTATTATTTTGTCATTTCATGGCTGCCTTCAATAAATTTGAATTTTCTCATTATATATCACATTGTTCAGCTTCTTTGCATATGTAGTAATTATTTACTGGATGCCAGACCTTGTAAATTTTACCTTGATGCTATATATTTTGTATTCCTATATGTTTTTGTTAGCTTTGTTCTGGGACATAGTTAGGTTTCTTGGAAACAGTTTGATTCTTCCAAATCTTGCTTTTAAGCTTTTTTAGGCAGAGAAGGGTTTATCGTAAGGCCAATTTCTCCCCCATTACTACAACCAAACTCTTTGAGTATTCCATGTCCTGTAAATTGTAAGGTTTTCTACTTTGGCTGATGGAAATAAGCACTATGCCTTGCCCATGTTCACTTCAGAGATTGCTCCTACCAATCTTGTCTGTAGTTCTGTCTCCTGTCTTTATACATATGCACTGTTCTGTGCCAGGTAAATACTTAAGGGGCACTATCTGTAAATTGTCAGAGTTCTGTCTCTTTGCAGCTCCCTTTTCTTCAGTAGTCTCCCATATGAACTGTAACCACCTTGGTTATTACTTCTATCAACAGCTCCTTAACTCAGGGAATTTGACAGGCTCTGCCTTAATTCTCCTTCCCAGCACCACAGCTTGAAAGCTGTCTCTAGTCAATAAACTAAGGCAGTCATAGAGTTTACCTTGTTTGTTTCCTGTGTGTCAGGGATCTCCTTCATTGCATGATGTCCAATGTCTTTCGACCGTTGTTTTATTAGTTGGTCCAGTATAACAGAGAAAACAAGTTATTCTTTTTTGTGTATTTGTGTATACCCACTAATTCTCAAGAAACTGCCAAGTTTAGTTAAGAGTCAAGTGTCAGTGTGGAGTTTGTTAAACAGTAGAAAATCCAGAATCATAAAGTGTGCCACATTACTGCCAACAGTAAGGCAGCTAAGAATTGGTCTTTCTTAGCTGCCTCAAACCTTGATATATGCTCTCCTTCTAGTTATTCAGTAAATATTTATCAATTTCCCACTATATTCAACAACTGATGACAAAATAGACATGGTTTTTCACTTCTAACATAACCAACCTTATTCACAAAGGCCTTATTTTCTACTGTAAGCACGCAGAGATTTATCTTTTACAACTGACTTAATTTCAGGAAGCTTGTCTAGAAAGTGGGACATGCACAGTCATCAGTAACCACATGGCAAGGTTTAGCTACCTGGAATTTTGTACCTAGAAGGCATTGCTAGATTTGAAAGAGGCGTCAAGGTGCATAGGTAAAATAAAGTAGACCTATATGTATTAACTTTGAAAGAAATTTATACTGTATTGATGATTTTTCAAAAAACAAATTGCAGAATAATTTCTGTTTCTCTGTTTGGGTTTTAATATATTTGTGTGTGTGCATGTACCCAGCATATACAGAGAGGATGGGATTGTGTTTCTGTTTAAACATACAGAAAATGAAAAAAATCTGAAAATATGTCATGCAAAGGGGACACAAATACCACTAGTCATGGATTAGCAATATGAAATGAGCTTTATTGGTATAAAGTAAGTACTTGAAGTAATAAAACATTTATCTCTGCCCCTTGAGTTGCCTGACCCATTCTTCTGCCTCTAACAACTGCTAGGAGTGTTCTTCCAGCATCCCCAGTGAGCTCAGTCTCTTGGAAAGAGTCTGTGGCACATACAACTCACAGGACCACACCTCAACATTATAAAGGAGGAGACTCACATACCTACCATGTGGCCCTAAACAATCTAGATCTGATTAAATTTCAAGGTCAACCATATTTCTAAGACTTCAATGATGTAAAAAAAAAAAAAAAAAACCCACTGTTTTGTGTACCACTGTGAGGAAGAGTGGAGGATGCTGCTGATTAAACTGTGATACAATGCTTTGCTATTACTTTAATTTTTTTCATTTTAGACATACTTTCTTTTAGACTTTAGGCAGTGATTTTTGTCCTATATTGCACAACTCTGTTTCTGTGTTTTTCTTCTGTTTCAATGCCGAATCCCTTGTGATCTTTTTAGATACTTAAATGACAATTGTACTCAGCCTATGAAGGACTAGCCATACTCAAAACTCAATTGAAGTAATAATATGAACAGCCAAGACCAATTTTTTCATGCATGGGCTTTATCAACAGCAATTATAAGATGTATGCTATTTTCATAGAAGAGATTAAAAACAGTATGATTTATAGGGTTCCTTTGCCTTTCAAAATGTTTGTCTGTTTGTTGATATTAAAAATCCTTTAGTAGGCTGGGCACAGTGGGTCACACCTGTAATCCCAGCACTTTGGGAGGTCAAGGCAGGCAGATAACTTGAGGCCAGGAGTTCGAGACCTGCCTGACCAACATGATGAAACCCTGTCTCTACTAAAAATACAAAAATCATCCGGGTGTGGTGGTGTGCACATATAGTCCCAGCTACTTGGGAGTCTGAGGCAAGAGAATTGCTTGAGCCTGGGAGGCAGAGGTTGCAGTGAGCCAAGATTGTGTCACTGCACTCCAGCCCAGGTGACAGAGCAAGACTCTGTCTCAAAAAAAGAAAAATATCGTTTAGTAAAGAACAGTGGCATTTATTTCATTACTAGAAATACAAGGCTTAAAAAATAACACTTAGATGAGATACTACATTGCCTGAATTTTTTTTTAATTTAGCAAGTGAACTTTAATTCATCAGCCTATCAAAAGTCTTTACCTTACTAGAATAATAGTAGAATAATAGTCACCAGAACCTGGGAAGGTGAAGATGGGGAATGAAGAGAGGGTGGTTAATGGATGCAAACATAAAGTTAGATAGAAGGAATGAGTTGTAGTGTTTAATTGCACAATAGGATGACTGTAGTTTACAATAATTTATTGTATATTTCAAAATAGCTAGAAGATTTGAAATGTTCCTAATACAAAGAAATGACAAATGTTTAAGGTTATTGATGTCCTAAATATCCCTATTTGATTTTCACATATGCATGTATCAAAATATCACATATACCCTATGCATATAATTATGTATCAATTTAAAAATTAATAATTTTTTAAAAGTTCCCTATCCAAAACTGTCCTCTGTGCTGTCAATCATGACTTATTTTTAAAGGCCCATGGCCTACAAGACAATGTCCAGATTCTTTAGCGTGGCATAGATGGCCAATTTGATTCTAATCTACTTCTCATCCTCATCTTCTGTCATCTCCCCTCTTCCCAAATCTTCACTTGCTGTCTCCTCCCACCACTTTGTTACCTTCGTACTCCTCAGTCTCCTTTGTTGACTTCTTTTTCTCTGATTATGTCTTAAGTGTTGACATGCCCCAGGGTTCTACCTTGTTTGTTTAGGGGAAAAGGGGAAAAAGCCAAGAACTTTCAAGTTAGGCAGACTGGTTATATGACTTTAGGCAAGTTATCTTTTTGTAAGCCTCAGTTTTCCAAAGTGTAAGTGGAAATAATAATACTATATTGCATGTTTGCTCCAAAATGAGAGAGGGTTCAATCTAAGATGAGCACTTAGCACACTAACTGGCATATGTTAATCACTCGGTAAATGTAGGATCTTATTTCTGTTCTAGAGTTTCATTTATTTTTCTCTTGCTGGCCATAATATTAATAAAATAAGTATTTTTCTTGTAAATCTGGCAATTTTTAAAGGAAATAATAGGTCCAGAATTGGAGTAAATAATGATTTTGCCTATATAGGAGTATTCAGAATAAGCCGGGTGTGGTGGCTAATGCCTGTAATCCCAGCACTTTGGGAGGCTGAGGCGGGGTGATCACCTGAGGTCAGGAGTTGAAGACCAGCCTGGCCAACATGGTGAAACCCTGTCTCTACTGAAAATACAAAAATTAGCTGGGCGTGGTTGTGGGCACCTGTAATCCCAGCTACTTGGGAGACTGAGGCATGAGAATCGGTTGAACCCAGGAGGCAGAGGTTGTAGTGAGCTGAGATTGCACCACCGCAGGACTCTAGCCTAGGTGACAGAGCAAGACTGTCTAAAAAAAAAAAAAGAAGAAAAAGAAGTATTCAGAATAAACAATAAAATCAATTTTAACACAATAGCAAAATGTTTAATAATAATTTAAATAATTTCTGCTCTTATCAAATGCAGAAGTGTATTTAATTGCATACAAACTAAGCATTTTAGGAGAAAAGTGAAAAGCTGCATTTTTGTTTTATTTTTTTTAATTAAGACAAGTATTCATTGATGAATAGTGTTTATATGATCAAAACATAAACAGTGAATGTTCTTGTTTTTTAATTTCAACTTTTATTTTAGATTCAGGGGTACATGGGCAGGTTTATTATCTGGGTTTTTTGTTGGTTGGTTTTTTTGAGATGGAGTCTTACTCTCTTGCCCAGGCTGGAGTGCAGTGGCATAATCTCGGTTCACTGCAACCTCTGCCTCCCTGGTTCAAGCGATTCTCCTGCCTCAGCCTCCTGAGTAGCTGGAATTACAGGCTCCTGCTACAGTGCCCGGCTGATTTTTGTATTTCTCTGGGTATATTATGTGATGGTAAGGTTTGGAGTTTAATTGCTACTGTCACCCAGGTAGTGAGCATCATACCCAATAGTTTTTCAACCCTTGGCCCCCTCTCCCTCTCCCCATTGCTAGTTCCCAGAGTCTGTTGTTCCCATCTTTATGTCCATATGTATGCAATGTTTAGTTCCCACTTATAAGTAAAAATATGGAGTATTTGGCTTTCTGTTTGTGCATTAAATCACTTAGGGTAGTGGCCTCCAGCTGCATCTGTGTTGCTGCAAGGACACAATTTCATTCTTTTTTATTGCTGCATAGTATCCCATGGTGTATATGTATGATAATTTCTTTATCCAATCCATTGTTATGGGCACGTAGGTTGATTCCATGTCTTCATTATTGTAAATGGTGCTGTGATGGGCATGTGAGTGCATGTGTTTGGTAGATGATTTATGTTCCTTTGGGTTTATACCCAGTAATGAGATTGCTAGGTTGAATGATAGCTGTGTTTCAAGTTCTTTGAGAAATCTCCAAACTGCTTTCCACAATGGCTGAACTGACTTACATTCCTACCAACAATATACAAGCATTCCCTTTTCTCCTCAGCCTCACCAGTTTTGACTTTTTAATAAAAGCTATTCTGATTGGTATGAGATGGTACCTCATTGTAGTTTTGATATGCATTTTTCTGGTGATTAGTGATGATCATTTTTTGAAAAACTGTTTTTTAAAACAAAGAAAAGCTTCAAATTAACCAGAATTGTTATATTCAAATTAGAGAATATGAATTACTGACAAAATAAATTTGTTGAATCAAAAAGCCAAAGCTAAGCAATAATAATAAGACAAAAATGAATATAAACATTTAAGAGTAATGATATCATAGTCTATTATCAATTTTCAGTAAATATAACAAAAATGATTATACGAATATATATGTATAAATAAGAATAGCTAGTAATTTTGAGAGCCTACTTAATGCCAGTCATAGCACTTTATGAAACCACATAAGTTCTGCTTGGGTTAACTGGACTTTCCAGAACATGAAACCCCTGAGTTGGCCAGTGTGTCCAGACTTCTTGAGGCCTGAAAGAAGCTCTCCAACTGAGTGAGCTTCCATTAGGTTGGCAAGTGTATTAGTCCGTTCTCACACTGCCAATGAAGACATACCTGAGACTGTAATCAATGAAGGAAAGAGGTTTCATTGACTCACAGTTCTGCAGGGCTGAGGAGGCCTCAGGAAACTTACAGTCATGGTGAAAGGGGAAGCAAACACGTCCTTCTTCACATGGTGGCAGCAAGAACTGCCAAGCAAAGGGGGAAAAGCCCCTTACAAAAACCATCAGACCTTGTGAGAACTCACTCACTATCATGAGAACAGCATGAGGGTAACTGCCCGCATGATTAATTACTTCCCACTGGGTCCCTCCCACAACACATGGGGATTTTAGGAACTACAATTCAGGGTGAGATCTGGATGGGGACACAAAACCTAACCATATCATTCTGCACCTGGACCCTCCCAAATCTCATGTCCTCATATTTCAAAACACAATCATGCCTTTCCAACAGTTCCCCAAAGTCTTAACTCTTTCCAACATTAACCCAAAAGTCCAAGGCCAAAGTCTTATCTGAGACAAGGCAAGTCCCTTCCGCCTATGAGCCTGCAAAATTAAAAGCAAGTTAGTTACTTCCTAGATACAGTGGGGGTACAGGCATTGGGTAAATACACCCATTTCAAGTGGGAGAAACTGGCCAAAATGGAGGGGCTACAGGCCCCATGTTAAGTCCAAAATCCAACAGGACAGTCAAATCTTAAAGCTCCGAAATGACCTCCTTTGACTCCACGTCTCACATCCAGGTCACATTGATGCAAGAGGTGGGCTCCCACGGTCTTGGGCAGCTCTGCCCTTGTGGCTTTGCATGGTTCAGCCCTGCTCCCAGCTGCTTTCATGGGCTGGCAGTGTCTACAACTTTTCAGGCAGACAGTGCAAGGTGTTAGTAGATCTACAGTTCTGGGGTCTGGAAGACGGTGGCCGTCTTCTCACGGCTCCACTAGGCAGTGTCCTAGTGTGGACTTTTTGTGGGTGCTCCAACCCCACATTTCCCTTCCGCACTGCCCTAGCAGAGGTTCTCCATGAGGGCTCTGCCCCTGCAGCAAACTTCTGCCTGAACATCCAGGAGTTTTCATACATCCTCTGAAATCTAGTCAGTGGTTTCCAAACCTCAGTTCTTAACTTCTGTACCCCTACCTGCATGCCCAACACCACGTGGAAGCTGCCAAAGCTTGAGACTTGCACCATCTGAAGCAATGGCCTGAGCTGTACATTGGCCCGAGCTGTACATTGGCCCCTTCTAGTCATGGCTGGAGCTGAAGCAGCTGGGATGCAGGGCACCATGTCCCGAAGCTGCATAGAGCAGGGGGGCCCTGGGCCTGGCCCCAGGAAACCATTTTTCTCTCCTAGGGCTCCAGGCCTGTGATTGGAGGGGCTGCTGTGAAGGTCTCTGACATACCCTGGAGACATTTTCACCATTGTCTTGGCAATTAACATTTTGCTCCTTGTTACATAGGCAAATTTCTGCAAGAGGCTCAAATTTCTCCCCAGAAAATGAGGTTTTCTTTTCTATCATATTGGCAGGCTGCAAATTTTCCAAATTTTATGCTCTACTTCCTCTTGAATGCTTTGCCTCTTAGAAATTTTTCCCCCAGAGTGTAAATTAGTTCAACCATTGTGGAAGATAGTGTGGCGATTCCTCAAGGATCTAGAACCAGAAATACCATTTGACCCAGCAATCCCATCATTGGGTATATACCCAAAGGATTATAAATCATTCTAATATAAAAACACGTGTACGCATATATTTATTGCAGCACTATTCACAATAGCAAAGACTTGGAACCAACCCAAATGCTCATCAATGATAGGCTGGATAAAGAAAATGAGGCACATACACCATGGAATACTATGTAGCCATAAAAAAGTTCATGTCCTTTGCAGGAACATGGATGAAGCTGGAAACCATCATTCTCAGCAAACTAACACAGGAACAGAAAACCAAACACCACGTGTTCTCACTCATAAGTGGGAGTTAAACAATGAGAACACATGGACACAGGGAGGGGAACATCACACACCAGGGCCTGTCTCGGGGTGGGGAGCTAGGGGAGGTATAGCATTAGGAGAAGTACCTAGTGTAGACGAGTTGATGGGTGCAGCAAACCACCATGGCACATGTATACCTGTGTAACAAACCTGCACGTTCTGCACATGTATCCCAAAACTGAAAGTATAATTTAAAAAAAAGAAAAAGAAATTTCTTCCCCCAGATACCCTAAATCATCTCTCTCAAGTTCAAAGTTCCACAGATCTCTAAGGCAGCAGCAAAATGCCACCAGTGTCTTTGCATAGCAAGAGTGACCTTTACTCCAGTTCCCAAGAAGTTCCTCATCTCCATCTGAAACTACCTCAGTCAGCCTGGACCTTTTTGTCCATATGACCATTGGCATTTTGGTCAAAGCTCTAGGAAGTTCAACCAGTCTCTAGGAGGCTCCAAATTTTCACACATTTTCCTGTCTTCTTCTGAGCCCTCCAAATTGTTCTAATCTCTGCCTGTTACTCGGTTCCAAAGTCACTTACACATTTTCAAGTATCTTCACATCAGTGCCCCACTACCCAGTACTGATTTACTGTATTAAGCCATTCTCATGCTGCTAATAAAGACATACCTGAGACTGCTATCTATAAAAGAAAGAGGTTTAATTGATTCACAGATCCACAGAGCTGGGGAGGCCTCAGGAAACTTACAATCATGGTGGAAGGGTAAGCAAACAACATGTCTTTCTTCACATGGCGGCAGCAAGGAGAAGTGCAGAACAAAGGGGGGAAAGCCCCTTATAAAACCATCAGATTTTGTGAGAACTCACTGTCACGAGAACAGCATGAGCGTAACCACGCCCATGATTAATACCTCCCACCAGGTTCTTCTGATGACATGTGGGGATTATGGGAACTACAGTTGAGGATGAACTTTGGATGGGAACACAAAGCCTAACCATATCAACAAGTATATCAAAGAAGAATCAAAGAATTCACAAAAATGATTCAAATACAATCAGTCTACTCTTAGGTTCCTGATGGATGTGTTATTAGCTATATTTAACATATTGAAGAAGAAAAACAGAGAACATACTGAATACTGTAATATATGATATGACCATTCTTGAAATCACATTTTCACTAAGTGATTAAGCTTTTGGAAAACTGGCCACAAAGTTGACCTGAGACTGATTTGGAAGATTGGGGCTGATTTGTATGTAAATATAATCCTTTATAATTAAAAATGTAACTACTACCTAGACAAATAGCTGTCTTTTTTTTTTTTTTTTTTTTTTTTTTTTTTTTTGAGACAGAGTCTCGCTCTGTCAGCCAGGCTAGAGTGCACTGGCACAATCTCGGCTCACTGCAACCTCTGCCTCCTGGGCTCAAGCAATTCTCCTGCCTCATCCTCCCCAGTAGCTGGGATTACAGGTGTGTGCCACCACACCCAGCTAATTTTTTGTATTTTTAGTAGAGACAGGGTTTCACCCTGTTGGCCAGGCTGGTCTTGAACTCCTGACCTCAGGTGATCTGCCCGCCTCGGCCTCCCAAAGTGCTGGGATTACAGGCGTGAGCCACGGCACCCAGCTAACGAATAGCTTTCATACTTTTTTGACCATGACCTGTAGTATGAAGTGTACCTTACATAGCAACCCAGTGCCCAAATATATGTTGTGTATTTGTGTGTGTGTGTATCTGAAACAATATCCTTACTATGTACAGTACATTCTATTAGTTGCTATTCTGTTCTGTTTCTTTTTTTATTATTATTTTTTTAACACTGTTTGCAACCTATGTGTGAAAACACTCATTTGGATAAATGTGTAATATTTTCATCTTATGGAAGCCTTCATGAAAAATCAGTTTTAGAATTGAAAAAGAAAGGTGAAAAAGTAAGAATGATTATAAAGGATACTAGAGAAATATGGAGTCATCGGGTGTGACTGTTGTATAAATATCCAGAATGCTTCCTAGACGTGTTTGTCTACTATGTGTAGGAGCAAGCTAATCCAACCTCTATATCATTTTGAATTAATACTGCGTACTGCTGAAATAATTGTTATGTATCCCCATATTTTTGTCCTGTCCCTTTTCTGCCCCTTTGAGCAATCTTGAACAAATTGGCTGTGGTTTTCTTAGTTGGTTGGAATTAGTATCATTTACAAATTTGAATAATTCTAGTCTGTACTCTATTCCTCCGAATTATTTATAATACAGCTATATGGCTAAGACTCAGAGAACCCCAATACTTTCATTCTTTATCTAGAGAGGTGTTTAGACCACGTCTTCAAAAAAAGGTACCCCTCCAATTCAATAGTGATTTCCTTTGAAAAATCTTATTTTGAACTTTGTTGACTTTTTTGAAGGCCTCCTATTTATGTGTTAACATTTTAATCACTCAGTTACATAGTTCTTGAGGAACTGCAATAAATAGCAAGAATTCCCACTGCAGAAACCGTGTTACTTTTTCTCAAATAAATTTGTTTATTTATGGCTTTTTATACACAGAGCACTTGCCTTAGAATAACTTATAAAAGTAGTGTTACCGTAAACTGTTCTAGCCCGTCATGCCATTTAGCTCATCATAAGAAATAAAGTATGTTTAGTAATAATGTTTGTTAAGTGTTAAGCAGTACTAATATCAAATTCATTCTTTCAACAAATATTTATTGAGTACCTATTATGGGCCAGGCATTTGTTCTAGGTTCTGGGGATGATTAGTGAATAAGACACAGAAATTCCTGCCCTTTGGTGCTCATACTGGAGTTGGGGAGAAACAGAGATTTTTTGTCAAGTGAAATATATACTCATTTAGAACCTAACGGGTTATATGAAGAAAAACAAGCAATGAAGAAGATTGCGGACAGTTCATCCTGCCTGTAGTTCCCAGCCCACTGGGCATGTAGGAGGCTCAAAGTGAGTGCCGTGGTTTTTAAGTTTCTTCTGAAAGTGGCCAATCAGCAAGGAAAAAGGCATCAGACCTATAGATGCTGCATGAATGTAGGTATTCAGGCAAAAAGCAATCAGATATCTCTAGTATGGAAGAATGGTTGTGAAGCATATTTCTTTGTGGATAATTAGTCACATTTATTTATCATTTGTGTGTGTGCCTGTGTACACACACATCAGTGCACACATGCGTGTGCCTTTAATACACCTTATTTATCTTCGGGTCGTAGGGGAGAGGGATTCTTTTGTGTTCACATTCTGGGTTATTTTTAATAATTGCCTTATTTTTTGTTATTGGGAAGCAGTAACAAGTATTGCCTGAACATGATTCTGGAACCAGACTCACTGGATTCAAATCTCAGCTTTGGCAATTACTAGCTATGTAAATTTGGAAAAGTTTTTTAACTTCTTTGGTTTCAGTGTCCTCATTTGTAAAATGTTAAGTTCCAAATAAAGCAACTTTCATTGAAATATTTCCTCAGAAAATGCAGGGGTTTATTTTTTTAAAAACAGATTGTGTCTTATAATATCTAAGGGGTGGAAAAACAGGACAGAAGAGAAAAGGTAACGTTTAAAAATAGGCAAAGACAATCTGAAAGGGCTACGTACGGTATGATTCCAACTATGTAACATGCTGGAAAAGACAAAACTATGGAGTCAGTAAAACAGCAGTTGCCAAAAGTTAGGAAGACTCCACCATGCCTGGCTGGTGTCGTGCATTCTATGGGGTTTAGACAGATGCATAATGACATGTGTCTGTCATTATATTATCACACAGAGTAGTTTCACTGCCCTAAAAATCCCGTGTTCTGCCTCCCAGGCTCAAGCAATTCTCATGCATCAGCCTTCCAAGTAGCTGGGACTACAGGCGTGCACCACCAAACCTGGCTAATTTTAGTATTTTTAGTAGAGACGGGGTTTCACCATATTGGCCAGGCTGGTCTTGTTGGCCATGTTGGCCAGGCCTCAAGTGAGCCGCTTGCCTCGGCCTCCCCAGGTGCATGAGCCACTGCATCCAGCTTTAATTTCTTTTAATTTCTTTCTTTCTTTTCTTTTCTCTTTTTTTTTTTTTTTTTGAGATGGAGTCTTGCTCTGTTGCCTCGTCTGGAGTGCGGTGACACAATCGCGGCTCACTGCAACCTCTGTCTCCTCAGTTCAAGCTGTTCTGCCAGGTTCAAGCGATTATCCCACCTCAGTCTCCCAAATGGCTGGGATTACAGGCACACACCACCATGCCCAGCTAATTTTTGTATTTTTAGTAGAGACAGGGTTTTGCCATGTTGGCCAACCTGGTCTCAAGCTCCTGACCTCAGGTGATCCACCTGCCTTGGCCTCCCAAAGTGCTGAGATTACAGGCGTGAACCACCATGCCCGGCCCAGCTTTAATTTCTTTATGTTGGTTTTCACCTTTCTCTCATATCTCCTTGAGTAACTTATTAGTCAGCCTTTTAAATTATTTGTCTAGTATTTCAAATTATTTATCTAGTATTATCTTGGTTTGGATCCACTGCTGGAGAGCTGTTGTGATCTTTTGGGGGTGTTATATAATCCCGTTTTTTTCATATTGCCAGAATTATTTTTCTGGTTTCTTCTTATTGGGGTAGACTATTTTGTCTACCCCAGTGAGAAGGAACTTATTTATTTCTAATTCAACTGAGTTTTTTTTTTTTTTAGTTTTTTTTTACTCGTTGGGGATGTGACTTTATGGTTTCTTAGCTAGCTTTGACTCAGCATTTTCAGTGTGAAGACTCTGAGTTCCTTAGTTGTAGAGAATCTTTGTGTGATGGCTTTCTCAGATGCTGATGATAGTAGTGATGTGCTGGATTTGTGAGCAGGTTCACTGTCTCCTGTGGGGCTGGAATGGCAGAGGTCTCATGAAGCTTCTCTCATTCCCTAGTGATGTGCCCTTAAGAAAAAAAAAAAAAATCCCCAGTATTTTATTCACATGGTTGAACAGTGCAAGCTTGAGGCCAGTAGGAGGTGCCCATAGGTAAAAACCAGCTTCTACTAAAGCAGGTGGATAAATGCCATACTTAATAGTGAGCAGAGCTCCCAGCCTTGACAGAAGCAGCTGGGGAAGGTGTATGAAATGCACTGAGGTCTTTTCAGGGAGAAGGGAGGGAGCCACCACAGCTCTCCTTCCAGGCCAACAGGAAAGTAATACACCTCCCAGGCACACTCCTGACCTGCTGTTCCAGCTGTTCAAATCAGAAAGGCATCTCTTTTCATCTGCAGGAATACTGATGTTCCATGTAGACTTTCCCCCTATGAGCCCAGCACTGCACCTGTGCCTCTGATGAAAAACAACTTCCCACAAGTGGAAAGTTCAGGGACTCAAGGCCTGCAGACTGGTTTCTTTTGTCCCACACGGTGCCTCCGTAATGTGCGGCACTCCCCCTTTACCTGGAGGGCCAGACTACTGTGAATCCTGCTACTCCTCTGGGTCTAGCTGCTCAGTGGGACTCCCACACTCCAGGATGGTACTGGAGAATATCCGCCAAGGATCCAGTGATGTGACCTGTCCTCTACTCTCCCAGCAGCGGGTACCAGCACCAGTTCTGATGGGGGTAGGAGAGGAGTGACG